>NW_025791778.1:300000-508332 GCF_000001405.40 Homo sapiens
ATCATAATTGATGTGCAGCAATATATTAAGAAATAATTCATCACAAGAACAAAAAATACATTCTTTTTGAGCACACAATAGAATAATCTTAAAAAATGGCTGAATACTAGTCTAGAAAGAAAGTGTCAAGAAATCTAGGTAAATCAAAGCAGATATATCTATCAAAATGCAAAAATATTTTTAAATAATTACCAAAAAATTTCTTTAAACATATCCTATTTTACTGGAACCTAAATAGCAAATTATTAAGTAATATTTGAGTTAAAGAGGAAATCTTAAAGAAAAGTACAATGTTCTTGGAACTTAACAACAGTGAAAATATAACTGGCCCACATTTTTGGGGCAGAGAAAAAGAATTTAGATGGAAGTTTTTTATTTTAAATGCATGTGTGAGAAAAAAAAAAGAAATATTTAAAGCAAATGAGTTCAAACATTTTTAAAAAGTAATAAGCGAACTCAAAGAGGAAAGCGGATGTAATAAAGATAAGGGCAGAAATCAATTAAAGTATAAATAAAGAATAGAGTGGCCAGGCGCGGTGGCTCACGCCTGTAATCCCAGCACTTTGGGGTGAGGAGATGGAGACCATCCTGGCTAAGGAGGTCAGGAGATGGAGACCATCCTGGCTAACACGGTGAAACCCCGTCTCTACGAAACATACAAAGAAAATTAGCTGGGCGTGGTGGTGGGTACCTGTAGTCCCAGCTACTCAAGAGGCTGAGGCAGGAGAATGGCATGAACCTGGGAGCGGAGGTTGCAGTGAGCCGAGATCGCGCCACTGCACTCCAGCGTGCGGGACAGAGCAAGACTCCGTCTCAAAAAAAAAGAAAAAAAAAAAAAAGAATAGAAATTAGCCAAAGCAAATGAACTTATTTTGAAATATGTATATATATTTCAAATGTAATATATATTATATTATATATGTATATATAAAATAGATTATCTATGTATATATAAAGTATACTTATATATGTATATATAAAACAGAAAAATTAGAGGAAGGCTGTCCAAAAAAGGAAAAGGTACAATAACTTAAAACACAGAATAAAAAAGAAGTAACTATAAAGACTATAAAAAATAAATAAGATGAGTGAAAAGCTAAGTGCTTAGATAAATTTATATGAAAATAGAAATGACAAATTGGTACAAATGTCATAAAATTTTTGAATAGATAATAATTATTAAAATAATGGAAATGGTAATCACAGACCTGACACCCCCCCAAAAAAGAACTAGTCTGGATGGTTTTATAGTTTATCAAACTTCCAATAAACTGTTAATAGTAATAGAAAAAAATAAAGTTGAACACTTATATATAATAGATACATATGGAAACATTTATCTTTAAAAAGACTATATATCAAAAGTCTACTGTAAACATTATACTTAACGAGGAAACCTTAGAAACAGTCTCAATAAGATTAGGATGAAGAAAAGAATACCTACCAGAACCACTACTTCTCAGCAGAGTAAACAGACCCTGGCCACTACTACAAAACTTGAAAGAGGCTTAAGCAGTATAAGGTGTAGAAGAGACAAGATAAAAGTATTGGTATTTGCAGATGAAATAATCATCTATGAAGAAAAATCACTAAAATCTAGCACCTTTGCTAAAGTCATCTTTCTGAAGACTTTATCAAAGGTCCTACATATGGTATCAACCAAGGGTGGAAAAAAGTGTTCCTCCATACCAGTAATAACCAACTAGAAAATACTATATAGGAAATGATTAAACAACAGCCAAAAAGTACATATTATAAAGCGAAAAGATTTATATATTTACTTCAATATTTATGATTTCTGCTCAAAGATGGGCAAAATAAAAAAATAAGAGGCAGATGGCATAATGCAGAAAATATTTCCAATGTCTAAAACCAACAAAAGATTGACATTTAGAACTCACAAAGAACCCATGCAAATAAATATTTAAAAGATAGTCAGTGCTATAGAAAATAGAAAAGAGCATAGGAAGAAATGCCCAAACTCATGAGTAATCACATACATACAAATTAAAAATAAAATCACTTTTATATTCAGCAAAATGAAAAAGAAATACAAAGCTAGAAAACATCAAGTGTTGGCAAGGATGTGAGCTAATGACAACTTATACACATCTGAAGGAAATAGCTACTAGTACAGTAACTTTGGAAAGCATTCTAGAGGTATTTAATGAAAATAAATGTATGTATTTATCCAGATTCTGTATAAATATATCAAAGAACTTCTTACACTGATTTGTAAGGAAACATATACAATGAGTCTATCATGGCCTTGTTTGTAATAGCTGGGTACTGAGTTAAATGTAGCCGTCCAACAACAGGAAAAATAAAGAGTAAAATGGTAATGGTAATGTACACTATTGAATGTCACACAGAGGTCATATGCAACAAACTTGATGTTCAAAAACAATGTGACTAGATCTCAAAAACACAATTCGAGTTTTTTAAAAAGCTAGAAATGGAATAAGAAACTGAAAATGAGTACCCGGGTATTGACCATATTTTACAGGGACAAAAACAACAAAGCAATATTTTGTAAGCATAAACATACATTTAAAGACACATATTAAACATATAGGCTAAGAATGTAAATAGAGAAACAGGAGTGCTGAAAGTTAGGGGAAAATGAAGTAATAAAATAAGGGGATTCCTGCACAGACCAAAGTTGATAATGTACTCTAAACTAAGAAATACAATTAACCATCTGCATCTGGGATTAAAAAGAAAAAGAATGTGTTACTTCCAAACAAGTGGAATAAAAAAGAAAGAAAACTTAATCCAGTAAAAAGCAGGAAAGTAGAGAAAAAGCCCCAGAAGATTGAAATTACAAAACAGTATTAGAAAAATAAATCCAAATTTATCAGTAATCACAATAAGGACAAACAGTTTGTTGTATGTATGTATGTATGTATGTATGTATGTATGTATGTATTTATAGAGAAAGGGTCTTTTTATGTTCCCCAAGCTGGTCTTGACCTCCTGGCCTCAAGCAATACTCAGTCTCCCAAGTTCATTTATGAAAAGACAAAAACATCACATTGGATTAAAAATAATACAGCTAAATGCTTTTTACAAATGACATAACTAAAACTTTAAAACACTGTTTATCAGTTTTCTGCTTACTGTTTTAAAAAACTACTACAAATGTAGCAGCTTAAAACACCACATATGTATTATCTTACAGTTATGTAGGTCAGAAGTCTGACACAAGTCTCACAGGTCTAAAAACAACGTGTCTGCAATACTACATTCCTTTCTGGAGGTTTTAGAAAAGAGTCTCTTTTCTTGCTTTTCCAGCTTCTGGAGAACTCCTTCCTTCATCTTCAAAGCCACGAATGTTGCATCTCTCTATACCTTTCTTTCATATTCACATATCCACCTCACTCTGTCCCTTTCCTCTCTAGCCTCTCTTCCAATCTTAATGACCCTTGGGATTACATTGCACCTAGAAGGACAATTTAGGAAAATCTCCCTATTTTAAGGTCAGTTGATTAGTAACCTTAATTCCATGCACAACCTTAATTCCCTTTGCCATGTAACATAACATTCACAAGGTCCAAGGATTAGGATGGAGATATCTTTGAGGGCTATTATTCTGCCCATCACCCAGTAAAATGAAAGCAAAGACATGGAAAACATACATGTACAATACTAAATATGAATACCAGTTATCAGAATATCAATATCTGAAAACCTGTATGAATATCAGAAAAAAAGTCCTAATGGCAAAAAGCATTATAGGACAATTCTGCAACTGAATGTATCTAATATAACCTCAAAATTTATAAAGCAAACAGCATTTTTTTTTTGAGATGCTGTCTTGCTCTGTTGCCCAGGCTGGAGTGCAGTGGGGCCATCTTGGCTCACTGCAACCTCCGCCTCCCAGGTTCAAGGGATTCTCCTGCCTCAGCCTCCTGAGTAGCTGGGATTACAGGTGCTCGCCACCACACCTGGCTAATTTTTGCATTTTTAGTAGAGATGGGGTTTTGCCATGTCAGTCAGGCTGGTCTCGAACTCCTGACCACAGGTGATCCATCCATCTCAGCCTCCCAAAGTGCTGGGATTATAAGTGTTAAGCCACTGCGCCTGGCAAACAGATTTAAAATAAAAATTGGTGAGTCCATAATCATATGTGGGGTTTTAAACATACCTGTTCCTGTATTTGATAGATGAACCAAATAGAAAATAGCTAGGAAATCCAAATTTGGATTTGAAGAATTCAAGGAATGGGCTTGATCTAAAAGATACATATAGGGAGAGAACCCTATGCTCTATAGCTTAAATATCCCCATTATTTTAAAATACACATAAAATTTTTAAATAAGATGACAACATATTAGATCATAAAACAAATCTAACAGACACCAATAATTTATATTATAAGAACAACATCTTTTTTTCTTTCTTTCTTTTTTTTTTTTTTTGAGACAAAGTCTCACTCTGTCGCCCAGGCTGGAGTTCAGTGGCGCGATCTTAGCTCACTGCAACCTCCACTTCCTGGGTTCAAGCGATTCTCCTGCCTCAGCCTCTCGAGTAGCTGGGATTACAGGCATGAGCCAGGACACCCGGCTATTTTTAGTAGAGACAGGGTTTCACCATGTTGGCCAGGCTGGTCTCGAACTCCTGACCTCAAGTAATCCGCCTGCCTCGGCCTTCCAAAGTGTCGGGATTACAGATGTGAGCCATCACACCCGGCAAAGGTAACATCTTTTGACCTCAATTTAATTAAATTAGAAATCAATAATTAAAAATCATAAACCCCCCATGTAAGGTTTTAAAGCTTAAACTTGAAGAAAATAGTTTATAATGAAAATCTGAAAATATTTCCTGAGTGATAATGAAAATGCTACATACCAAAACTTGGAAGATGCAACTAAAGTGCTACTTAGAAATACGTACTGTTAAATGCTTATATTATAAAGGAATCTTTATATAAGTAATCATGGCTGAAGCAGGGCTTATGCCTGTAATTCCAACACTTTGGGAGGCTGAGGAGGGCAGATGGCTTGAGCCCAGGAGTTCGAGACTAGCCTGAACAACATGGCAGATCTCTGGCTCTACAAAAGGTATGAAAATTATCCAGGCATGGTGGTGCATGTCTATAGTACCAGCTATTCTGGAGGCTAAGGTGGGAGGATGGAGTGAGTCCAGGAGGTTAAGGCTGCAGCAAGTTGTGATCATGCCATTGCACTCCAGACTAGGTGACAGAGGAAGACCCTGTCTCAAAAAAAAAAAAAAGATAATTATCTGATTGAGAAAAGAAAAAAAGGCATAAGTAAATAATATTTGGCACAGACAAAACTAAAGATATAGCAGAGATTGGGCTGGGCACAGTGGCTCATGCCTTTAATCCCAGCACTTTGGGAGGCTGAGGCGGGCAGATCATGAGGTCAGGAGTTCGAGACCAGCCTGGCCAACATGGTGAAACTCCATCTCTACTAAAAGTACAAAAATTAGCTGAGCATGGTGGTGCGCGCCTATAATCCCAGCTACTCAGGAGGCTGAGGCAGGAAAATCACTTGAAACCAGAAGGCAGAGGTTGTAGTGAGCTGAGATGGCGCCATTGCACTCCAGCCTGGTTAACAAGAGTGAAACTCTGTCTCTCAAAAAAAAAAAAAAAAGATATAGCAGAGATTAACAATTCAAAAGAAAAACCTATGAACAACTCTATGAGAATGAATATCCTGGAAAAACTGGTTGAAGAAAAATAGTAAAATTGAATAGACTTAATCCAATTAAAATAATTGAATCAGTAGTTAAGTATGTACCACACACATTTCCAGGGAGGAGAGTGGGCTCAAAAGGTTTCTGTCTTTTTTTTTTTTTTTTAAAGACAGAGTCTCACTCTCGTCCAGGCTGGAGGCAGTGGTGCCATCTCGGCTCACTGCAACCTCTGCCTCCTGGGTTCAAACAATTCTCCTGCCTCAGCCTCCTGAGTAGCTGGGATTACAGGCACATGCCACCAGGCCTGGCCAATTTTTTTTGTATTTTTAGTAGAGACAGGGTTTCACCATGTGGGCCAGGCTGGTCTTGAACTCAAGTGATCCACCTGCCTCAGCCTCCCAAAGTGCTGGGATTACAGGCATGAACCACCATTCCCAGCCTCAAAAGATTTCTCCAGCAAGGTGTGGTAGCTCACCCTGTAATCCCAGCACTTTGGAAGGCCAAGGTGGGAGGATTGTTTGAGGTTAGGAGTTCAAGACTTGCCTGGGCTGCACAGTCAGACTCCCTATCTCTACAAAAAAAAATTTTTTTTTATTAGCCAGGTATGGTGGTACACACCTGTAGTCCTAGCTGTCCAACATGGTGAAACCCCATCTCTACTAAAAATACAAAAATTAGCCAGGTATGAAGGTGTGCACCTGTAATCCCAGCTACTCAGGAGGCTGAGGCACAAGAATCACTTGAACCCGGGAGGTGGAGGTTGCAGTGAGCCGAGATCACACCACTGCACTCCAGCCTGGGCAACAGAGCCAGACCCCGTCTCAAAAATAAAAATAAAAATAATAAAAATAAAAGTTGTATCATTTATAATAGTATTCAAAATACAAAGGATCCTGGGAATAACACTAGTAAAAGATGTGTGGCCTCCAAAAATAAAAATGTAAAACGTTATTTAAAAATTGTATCATTTATAATAGTATTCAAAATATGAAGGATCCTGGGAATAATACTAGTAAAAGATGTGTGTGGCTTCCAAAAATAAAAATGTAAAACTTTTTAAAGAAAATTTAAAATTCTTGAATAAGTTGAGACATATAAGACATGTAAGGATTAAAGACTTTATATCAATTCTCCCTGAATTTATCTATAGATTCTGTGCTGTCACAATCAAATCCCAACAGGTATTTTTGTTGTTGGTGGTGGTCACATGTTGCCATGTTCAACAAGACTAAATTACACTAAATACTTGGAACTGCAAAGGACCAATAGCCAAGGCACCCTTGAATACGAAGAACAAAGTGAGAGGACTTGCCATTCCAAATATAAAAGTTTATTTAAATAAAGCTGCAGTAATTAATACAGTGTGGTACTGGTGGAGGAATAGAAAAATGAACTAATTTAGAGCCCCTAAAATAAACTAACATACATATGGACAGAGAGCACAGCTATGGGGAAAAGGCAGCATTCCCTTAAATGGGTGCTGGGACAATTAAGTATCCATATAAAAAATAAAATTTGGGTCCCTAATTCATACCATACAAAAGAATCAATTTTAGGCTATTTAGAAATCTGAAAGTGGGAAACAAAATGCAAACACTTAGAAGATAATATTGGACATCTATTCATGACTTTGGGGAAGAATGTTTTAAACAGGACACAAAAGCACAAATCAAGGAAAAGACTGATAAATTTCACTACCTTAAAAGTAAAAACTAGTCATCACAGAACACCATAAAAAGAGTGAAAAGAAAAGCCTCAGTTTGGAAAATGATATTTGTACCATGTATAAACCACAAAGTTCTAGTATTCAAAGCCTATAAATGGTATCTACAAATCAATAATAAAAAGGCACACAACCTAATAAAAAGCGTCAAAAGTCTTAAAGAGGAAATCCAAGTGGTGTGGTTGATAAACATATGAAAGTTCTCAAATTCTTTAGTAACAGGAAAATGCATATTTTAACCAACATGAACTACACACCCGGATTGGCAACTATTAAAAGAACAAGGGTTACAGAGCACATGAAACAAAAGCAGCTCTCATGCACTGCTAGTGTAAGTGTAAACTGGCTGAAAACAAAAATAAAAACACAGGAACACAGTCTGGCTTCATCTCATCAAGAAGAAGAAATGCAGATATAATACTGTAATTAAACTTCTAGACGGAGCACCTCTGAAACTGAGTAGATGTCAACAAGATGAAATATATAAGGATATCTGAGCCAGGTGCAGGGGCTCACGCCTATAAACACTGTGGGAGGACAAGGCAGGAGGATCGCTTGAGGCCAGGAGTTCAAAACCAGCCTGGGCAATATAGGAAGACCCTGTCAGAAAGAAAAGAAAGGGAGGGAGGGAGGGAAGAAAGGAAGGAAGGAAGGAAGGGGAAAAAGAGGGAGAAAGAAAGAGAGAAAAAAGAAAGAGAGAAAAGAAAAAGAAAAGGAAGAAAAACGAGAGGAGAAGAAAAGGAAAAGAAAGGAAGGAAAGAAGGGAGGGAGGGAGGGAGGGAAGGAGGGAGGGAAAATCCAGGCATAGCAGTGCATGCCTGTAGTCCTAGCTACTTAGGAGTCTGAGTTAGGAGGATTGCTTGAGCCCAAGAGGTCCAGGCTGCAATGAGCTATGATTGCATTGATGCACTCCAGCCTGGGCAAGAGTGAGACCCGGTCTCAATATATATATATATATAAAACCTCTTTGTAAAGGGGGAAATAATATATTTTCAGGAGCCTTGAATACATCAACGTTTTATTTTCTAAAAGACCTGGAACAAGTAAAGCAGGCATTAAAATTTCATAAAGCTGAACAGTGGTTAGGCTAGTCATTGTTGTATTATTTTCTCTATGTATTTTATGTTTTTTTAAAAAACTCTACCAACACATAATCAGTTTTACGGACATTTTCTTGACTTGACTGAAATAAGGTTTTTTGACATTGCCTACAGGTTTCCCAACAGCCAGATTTCTTAGTCAAAATGCTTGCCTGTTAAAAAAAAAATAGTACTTTAAAATAAAACAAATGTAAGTTGGAAACTTTTAAATTGAATAGGTGATTTATGCATAGAACCTTTTATATATGGCCAACAAAGGTACCATTGTAGGAACTATGGCTTTCTGCGTTAATGTGAATTGATCATAGAATGAATCACTCCTCACTCAATTTTAATTAAATCAAAAATTACATAAAAAATGCAAAGTTTTAAAATCCACCTTATAAGCAAAATAATTTAATTTTAAAACTATAATAAACCCTAGAACTCATCTATACTATATTGGATCTAAGGAACCTTTTCAGGTATTCACTGAGAATTCCTCTCCAGGGTTAAATAAATGTACTGATGTCACCTATTAACCTCAAACTGAAATTATACTGATTGATCTGAATTTAACTGCATCTCTTTGAACACACTGATCATGAGTTATTAGGGAATTCATCCATTTGCTAAATCTTATCATTTCAATTTAAAGTGCACACTAAGTGAACTTGCTCACATTTCACTAATTTCAATGAACTCTCTGAGATTACTGGACAGGAGAAAGAAGAAATCCTATCAAAGGCTAATTCGTTCCTTAAATTTCACACACAGGTCTTATGAAATAATTGTATATTTTCTTCCAAAGGCCCACATAGAAAAACATACATAAATCCAGCAGTCTATCAATAAATCCACTGAATTCACTGTAAACTACATAAACACATTGACATCTGTTAAGTTGCCAAATGCAATTTACAACATTTAAAAGTCACCCAGGATCTCAGTTTTAAGAATTAAATATTACTTGTAAAACACGCCATAGTGTTAATGTGTAGGATTCACTGATCTATATGTAAATGCAATATGCTTTCAGTACAAAATTTTGTGTGAATTTGATCCTAATTGCCAGAGATTTGATTGATCTAATTATATATAAATTTGAAAGGAATTTGAAAATTTAGTCTTGAAAATAAAATCCACAAATATACATTGCCACCTCCAGTCACTAAATACATGAGGAACCATAAAGGAACTTCTAATTTCCCTCTAAAATTAACTTTCCCTGAACTTGCTATTTATATAAACAAATAGAAAAATAAAATTTAATACAAATAGAGAAAAAATGTCTTGCAAAACATCCAAATTTGAACTCAGTGAAGTACTAGGACTTCAGTGACATTTGGTTGAAGCCTTTGCACTACCAGTGAACCCCGTAAAAACACATTTTCTCTAGTGCGTATACAAATTGGAGTTTCCCTTCTTCCTGACATTTCAGTTAACACTGCACTTCTTTGACCTCAAAATAGTTTCAGAGTGAAATATCCCTTGGCCTTAGGAGAATATGAGAAAAGCCTGTTCCTAAACATTAAACTTAATTAGAATTCATTGCTCCCTTAGTAAATAAGCAGACTTCTTTTTTAATCAAATGAGCTCTCAGAGAACTCAATATAAAACCTCTTGACATATTAGTCAATTGGACTTTCATTGACCTCTCAACATTTCTAAATTGGGCTTCCATTCACCCCCCTTTTTTTCCTAGAAAAATCATAAAAAATACCACTATTGTGAATTTCAAGACGGTAGTTTTACAAACATAAGAAAGCCTCATAATACTTTAAGGCCAATGGGGTGGCTCACCCTGTAATCCCAGCAGTTTGGGAGGCCTAGGTGGGTGGATCCCTTGAGAACAGGAGTTGGGGAACAGAGCGAGACCATGTCTCAAATTAATAAAAAAAATTTTTTGGAACAACTAAGCGGTAATAGAAAACCCCAGAATACTCAAAAGGCACACAGTCACAAATCTGTTTAATTAGATTATGCTTCATAAGCCCTGCAAAATCTTAAAAACCTCTATTTTGCCTCCAAATAAAACCTTTATTCATCTCACATAACAAGATATGAAGGAAAAAATTCAACTGATCTTCAATTGAATATTTGTCAATCTTAAATTGTGACTGACAAGGTGGCTTGAATTTTTTCTCTATATATTTGCATATTCAGTATGTGTGGCTTTATACAAGGGAAAACAGCAATACAATTTGAATAAGTAATGGAATAAAGGAACAGAAGAAGAAATTATACTGAACAGAATGTCAACATGCTTAATTAAAAGTGCTGTTTTTGTCCAAATATACCTGGATTCTCTTCCATGAATTTACATTTAAGTAATCAATACACACCAAGTATTATGCTAGTATCTGGAGAACCTGAAACGTATTTTACTTGACCAAATCTGAACCCTGATTATGTTTAATTAGGAGAGAGAAGTGGCACTGTCAGACAATACCTCATGTTAAAAAAAAATCAGCTCTAGAAAAAAGATGATTCTGAATTTACTTTAAGTAGGTATTTATTTTTAAATTGCTATTTCAATTTCTTGCTTTGGATGTCTTTTTAATATGGTCCTTTACATAATCTACCTAGTGAATTGAACCTATTCAGAAATATTTAATCTGCTTTTATCTTCAGTGTTAATAATTCTTACTCTACTATACTATTCTGCACTTCGTATTCACTAAATAAACTTGAATTAACTCCCACTTGTGTTGATTTATACAGTTCAATTGTAGCTATTTGTACTTGCTTCTTTATGGAAGACCATCTATATAAACAAATATATACACACAAATACTTCTGTAAATAAAACCCACCCTACTCCCTAAAATACCTTCTGATTGTGATATTATAGTGTATAGTTTAGGGGAAAATTATCTTCTTTTTATCTTAATAATCCAGTTTCCCTTTGTACATGGTTACATTCACTGGTGAGTTGCCAACTGAGCACTTCTTGTGTACTCAGTCACCTGACCTTACTCTATGCTGAAAATGGAGGGCCGGGCGCGGTGGCTCACGCCTGTAATCCCAGCACTTTGGGAGGCCGAGGCGGGTGGATCACGAGGTCAGGAGATCGAGACCATCCTGGCTAACAAGGTGAAACCCCGTCTCTACTAAAAATACAAAAAATTAGCCGGGCGCGGTGGCAGGCGCCTGTAGTCCCAGCTACTCGGGAGGCTGAGGCAGGAGAATGGCGTGAACCCGGGAAGCGGAGCTTGCAGTGAGCCGAGATTGCGCCACTGCAGTCCGCAGTCCGGCCTGGGCGACAGAGCGAGACTCCGTCTCAAAAAAAAAAAAAAAAAAAAAAAAAAAAAAGAAAATGGAGAAAGAATCAATGCAAAGTAGAAAACTGGGAGAAGCAGAGAGAATCCAAAAGAGAATGAAAAGCTGAGGAAAGAGTAGTTTGCTCTACCTACGCAAACTACTTTCCATAATTATTACTCAGAAAAATAATTTTCTGTACCAGCAGTTCAGCAAGTACACCTTCTTGAAAGTTTTCTGTTAAAACTTTCAATTAACCTGAACCAGCCTCAGGATAATTCTTCCTAGACGCTCCAGCCTGTCTGTTCAAACTACCCAGATTTACTCTTACTTTTTTCTCCAACCTGTGCCTATGCAGACAAACGCACCAGTTCTCAACATCTGGTTTTTTACCTTGCTGCTCCATATCACATGAAACACACGTAATACTTCCACTTCAGAAGCCAGAATTAGTATACTTTCAGATGTAACTAGCACAATCAGCCCACGTATAGTTACTAACCTACCCTTGCAAAGTAACCTACAGAAATAAATTAACTGGGTTGTGTAATTTCCTAACTCGTAGTATTTTAATTCCATTCACAAAACTGCCTCAAATTACACTTTATATATGGAAGGAGGACTCCATTCTCAAATGTATGCATTTTAAAACGATCTTTATGCCACTTGAAGTTTAATCCCTATTCATGCCTTTTTTTTTTCTTAACATGATCAAAACGCTGTGATTCCAGCAAGCGAAAGAGCATTCAGATCAGCTGATGAGTGCACTGCAAAACAGTCGCAGCTATCCCATCCCCAGAATGTGCCAGAAATAGTAAAGAAATGTTCCAGCGGGGCGCGGTGCTCATGCCTGTAATCCCAGCACTTTGGGAGGCCGAGGCGGGCGGATCACAAGGTCAAGAGATCCAGATCATTCTGGCCAACATGGTGAAACCCCGTCTCTACTAAAAATACAAAAATTAGCTGGGCGTGGTGGCGCCCGCCTGTAGGTAATCCCAGCTACTCGGGTGACTGAAACAGGAGAATCGCTTGAACCCAGTAGGCGGGGGCTGCAGTGAGCCGAGATCGCGCCGCTGCACTCCAGCCTGGCGACAGAGCGAGACTCCATCTCAAAAAAAAAAGAATAATTAGAAGAAATGTTCCAGCCTAAAGGGGGGAAAAATCCTAATAAAATCTTCACAAATCCCTTTCCCTTCTTTTCATCCTCTTTCAGTTCGACTTTGCTTACACAAGAAACAGCTGCCTCCCCTTGCGGAAGTCGGAAGCCAAGCGCATTTCAAAACAGCTTCTGTGGCCGCAATTTTTCTCAGGCTCTTACAGAATAGATTTCAAAACAGTTTTAATTAATTCAACAAAAAGTTCAGCTAAACTTAGGTATCAATTGGTCGCTCAGTTAGTGCAGTACGCAGAAAGACAAGAAAGTCCGCGGAATCCGCTAAGACCGAGACTACCTGAAGTCGCTGTGGCTAGCACTTCCGGTACCGGCCCTAAAAGCGGTCCTACCAGAAGGAAGAGGAAGTGAGTCCAGTAGACTGCCCAGGATTCCTGGAGTAGCTCCTTATAGAACAGGGTTTCTCTCCTGGATGTATAATTTAGGAGATGGGAATTTTTACAGCCTCCGAAATTACGCGTCGGCTCCAACAGATGTCTAACTGTGCGGACGAGGGTGACAGCCAGTGTTTTTTTGTTTTTTTGTTTGTTTTGTTTTGTTTTTTTTGGGACAGGGTCTCGCTCTGTCTCCCAGGCTGGAGTGCAGTGGTGCGATCTCGGCTCCCTGCAGCCTCCGCCTCTTGGGTTCAAACGGTTCTCCAGCCTCAACCTCCCGAGTAGCTGGGATTAAAGGCGCCCGCCACCACGGCCCGGCTAATTTTTGTATTTTTAGTAGAGACGGGGTTTCACCCTATTGGTCAGGCTGGTCTCGAACTCCCGACCTCAGGGGATCCACCCGCCTCGGCCTCCCAAAGTGCTGGGATTACAGGCGTGAGCCACCGCGCCCGGCCTCCAGGCTTCTTAACTGCCATTAGTTGCAGCAACTCTGAAATGAGAATGAAAACCTTTATGAATTTAATACATGCTAGCACTGTATTTCTTCCTTTAATTTGAAGGTGACTCAAAAAAGCTCTTTTCCTACTAGCGTGGAAAATTCACATTGCAAGGAGCTACTTCCCTCTTCTGGTCCCAAGTACTATTTCCCCCTTTAGGAAGTTAGGAACAAATTTGGTCCTCACTGAAAATCTGGATGGGGGAATGTATATATTAAGACTTCAGTGTCGGCCGGCAGTGGCTCATGCCTATAATCCCAGCACTTTGGGAGTCGGAGGCGGGTGGAACATGAGGTCAGGAGTTCAAGACCAGCCTGGCCAAGATGGTGAAACCCTGCCTCTACTAAAAATACAAAAATTAGCTGGGCGCGGTGGCAGGTGCCTGTAATCCCAACTACTTGGGAAACTAAGGCAGGAGAATCGCTTGAGCTCGGGGGGCGGAGGTTGCAGTGAGCTGAGATCACGCCACTGCACTCCAGCCTGAGCGGCAAAGTGAGACTCTGTCTCAAAAAAAAAAAAAAAAAAAAAAAAAAAGACTTCAGTGTTTAGAGAAATCCACTATATTGTGCATGCTGTTCTCTCTGCATGAATTGCTGTTTCGCTCCTTCTTTGCCTATCTATCCTTGCCATTTATTCAGGGAAGCCTTTTTTGACTGCTCTGACTGGATAAAAATCTATTATAGGCTTTTATAGGTTCTCAGAGCCACCAGATCACTTATTTGTAGTATGTAGCCAAATTTCAGTCTTTCATCCATTTGTGGGATGATTTGATTAAAGTATTTCTTCCCCATCAGATCATGCTTCCTGAGGGTAGGGATAGTGTTTGGTTTTACTTACAGTTTGTATTCCTCAGAGATGATCTCAGTTTCTTGGAGTAGACCCTCAATACAATTTTGTTAAATAAATGGATGTTAGTAAACACTGATATTTCTACAGGGAGACCAGAGACTATGAGTATAGATTACTGCAAAACCTAAATAGGGTTGAAATTTAAGAGTTTGTAAATAAAAATTCAGAAGTAGGAAAGTGATACTCTTTATCAGATCTCTGTGGACCATATTTCTATAAATAAAATATAGTCTTTTTATCAGTTAATATCTAAGTCTGAGACTGAACTATGGTGATATTTAAATGAAAGAGGAAATAAAAATGAATAAATAAGAGTCCCTGTCATCCAATTACTAAAAGTCTGGTGGGAGGATATTAGTCGGCTTCATTCAACACAACCTGCCTTTCATTCCAAAATTCATATTCCTTGGGAAAAAAAGCAGAGTATTGTTCAGAACATGCTTGTCACATTATACTCCAGTAATCTTTATTATTTTGGGAAGGAAAAAATATGAATGTCACATCAGATTTAGTCACTTAACAAAGGAACCATTATGCTCCATGGAATACCATGCTGTCATGGCGCTTATAGTATCCTGGGAAAGACTATGTATCTAACATATATACATATGTGTGTAGAGATATATACCCTACTAGTGGAGTCAGAGAAGGCCTCATTGAGAGAGCTGGCATTTAAACTAGAATGCAAAGGAAAGCAAGGGCTAACCAACATGGGGATACAGAGAGAACATCACACGAAAAAAAAGGAAGACTAGAAGGAATTTGGAAATCTTGGAGAATAGATAGGTCAGTGTGGCTGGAAGTCACTTATTAAGGAGAGGACTTTTAAAAATGAAGCCAGAAAAGTAGGCAGGGGCTGGGTCATTGCCAGATCTTTTAGTCCATACTGAGGATTTTAAACTTTATTATTGAAGCAATGAAAACTCACTGCAGATATTTCAGCTGCAGAGTGACAGAATTTTACTTTGATTTTTACAAGGTCATTCTGACTGGTCTGTGGAGAACTGGCTGAGTGGGTTTGAAAAAGACAAGAGACATATTTATAAGAGTCCAGTGAGCAAATGAAGATATTCCAGGTAAGGGTGTTGTAAGTGGGTTCAAATAGAAATGGAATAATTTGTCATAATAATTTGAAGAGAAAATACACCAAACTTGATGATGGGTTAGACAGGGTGGTGAAAGAGATGGAGATGTCAAAGATACTTCTGATCACCATCTTCAGAAGCCTAAAGATCTTCCTTTTTAGGCTTTAGAAATTAAATCCTTCATTCTCCCCTCAAAAGTGGCAAAACATATGACATTCATTATGATAGTACAGTATGGAAGGTGCATCCTGAATCTTGAAAGAATCTACCATATATGGGATCCTTAAGAAACTTAGGTCATAGCAGTTCTTTGAGAAACATCCCATTGTCAACTGTGGAAAAGTAAAAAAGTTTTGAGACTCGCTAGCGTACTCACAACATGAATATGACATTCAAGATAGACTTCTTAGTTTAAAAGAATTAGATAGATTCATGGCAGGGCTACCAAACCATGTAGAATGGAGACCAGTATGAAAAAAAAATATTTTAGGCCATGTGCAGTTGTTCATGCCTGTAATCCCAGCACTTTGGGAGGCTGAGGCAGGAGGATCACGTGAGGTCAGGAGTCCGAGACCAGCCTGGCCAACATGGTGAAACCCTGTCTCTACTAAAAATACAAAAATTAGCCTGGTGTGATGGCAGACACCTGTAATCCCAGCTACTTGGGAGGCTGAGACACAAGAATCGCTTGAACCTGGGAGATGGAGGTTGCAGTGAGCCGAGATTGTGCCACTGCACTTGAGCCTGGGCAATAGAGTGAGACCCTGTCTCAAAAAAAAAAAAGAAAAATATATATTTTAATATGTCTCTCTACATCTTTGATCTCATTGTCTCTTAAGAATTTATTGCCCATTTCACAGATGAAGAAATTGAGTCTTGTAGAAATTGGGTATTGTATTAGTATAAAGAACACATTATACATTTTATAAATGAAGAATCGTAATAAGGTCAGGGAGGTTAAAGGGTCTTCCCACTATGGCACACTTAGTATGTAGCAATTGCTATATTAAAATTCCATGAAACAGAAGATAGAACAAGAAAAGAAAGTGTATAGGGGAAACAAAATTAAGAAGCCTTAATATATAAAGGATAAATAAGGAGTCCCCAAAGGGATTGAAAAGGAATGGGTAGAGAGAAAAAATTTCAAAAGAGGGTGCTGTCACAGGAGTCAGAAGAGAGTGTTTCAAGAAGGAGGGAATAGTGGACTATGTTTAATGTTACTGAAAGTTCAAATGAGAAGAGAATGAAAGTATCTACTGAATTTGGCATTATGGAAGTGAATTAATGAACACTTTTAGTGTCGAATTGTAAAAGTTTAAGGAGAGACTGAGGAATTGAGGAAGTATTGTCAGTACGTGTATAAAATCTTTTCAAGAAGCTTGAATATTTAAGAAATTAATAGAAATGAGATGGTAGCTGAAAAGAAGTGTGGGATCCTGGTAAGTTTGTTTTTGTTTCGTTTTGTTTTGTTTTTTTGAGACAGTCTCACTCTGTTGCCCAGGCTGGAGTGCAGTGGCATGGTCTCAGCTAACTGCAACCTCTGCCTCCTGGGTTCAAGCAATTCTCATGCCTCAGCCTTCCGAGTAGCCGGGATTACAGGCGCGCCACCACGCCCAGCTGATTTTTTGTATTTTTAGTAGAGACAGGGTTTCACCTTGTTGCCCAGGCAAGTTTTGAACTCTTGAGCTCAGGCAGTTCGCCCACCTAAGCCTCCCAAAGTGCTAGGATTATAGGTGTGAGCCACTGTGCCCAGCTTCTGGCAAGATTTTTGAGGTGGATGATAAGATCAAATAATTCATTGAAAAGAGAGAGTTTGAATATGCAGGAATGAAAATAATTCATATTCAACAAGGGTGAAACTGTGAGTGAAATTCTCATAACTTATGCTATGCTTAAAGGTTCTAGATTTTTGCATAAATAAGAATGTGCTGCATGTTCCATTGAGGTAAGGGAGAAGGATAATAGAGTGCAGTGTAGGAGTCATTTAGACTTATATTTGTTTGTAGGAGTAAACCAGACAATGTAGAGAAGTTCTTGCTTTCATAGTATTACACTAATAATAGTAAACATTTATGAAGTACCATGATGTTCCATGCTCTGAGCTGAGCATTTCATAAGCGCTGTTTCTTTTTCTTTTCTTTTCTTTTCTTTTTTCTTTCTTTCTTTCTTTCTTTTTTTTTTTTTTTTTTTGCGATGGAATCTCGCTCTGCCACCAGCCTGGAGTGCAGCGGCTTGATCTCAGCTCCCTGCAATCTCGGCCTCCTGGGTATAAGTGATTCCCCCCTGCCTCAGCCTCCTGAGTAGCTGGGACTACAGGTGCGCACCACCACACCTGGCTAATTTTTTGTATTTTAGTAGAGACAGGGTTTCACCATGTTGGCCAGGACGGTCTGAATCTCCTGATCTCATGATCCGCTCACCTCACCCTCCCAAAGTGCTGGGATTACAGGTGTGAGCCACCGCGCCTGGCCTGCACTGTTTCATTTGATTGTCACAACTTCATGAAGGAGATAACACTATTATATCCATAATTTTTTTCAGATGAGAAAGCAGAAGTTTGGAGAGATTAAATACTTTTCCTAATTTAATGTATGTGAAGAAGCAGAGCCAGGACTTGAATATGACTCTTAACATCATAAAGTCTTTTTTTTTTTTTTTTTTTTTGTGACAGTCTTGCTCTGTTCCCCAGGCTGAAGTGCAGTGGTGCGATCTCAGCTCACCGAAGCCTTCTGCCTTCTGGGTTCCAGCGATTCTCCTGCCTCAGCCTCCTGGGTAGCTGGGATTACAGGCGCATGCCACCACACCTTGCTAATTTTTGTATTTTTAGTAGAGACGGGGTTTCACCACGTTGGCCAGGCTGGTCTCAAACTCCTGATCTCAGGTGATCCGCCCACCTTGGCCTCCCAACGTGCTGGGATTACAGGCGTGAGACACCGTGCCCAGCCAACATCATAAAGTCTTAATCACCACTTTAAATATTTCCTTAAGATATTGTTAACTCAAGCTGCAGGATTTTCCTTTAAACTGGAGATGTGAGCCAAGTTCAAAGAGAAAAAAGAGGCCTATCCCTATCCTTTTTTTTTTTTTGAGACAGAATCTTGCTGTGTTGGCCAGGCTGGAGTGTAGTGGCATGATCTCGGCTCACTGCAACCTCCATCTCCTGGGTTCAAGCAGTTCTCCTTCCTCAGCCTCCCAAGTAGCTGGGACTACAAGCATGAGCCACCATATGCAGCTGTTTTGTATTTTTAGTAGAGACGGGGTTTCACCATGTGGGCCAGGCTGGTTTCGAACTCCTGACCTCAAGTGATCTGTCCGCCTTGGCCTCCCAAAGTGCTGGGATTACAGGCGTGAGCCACCACGCCCGGCCCTATCCCTAGTCTTTTAGTTGTCATCCCTTGACACTTCATACAGGGCTCTGTGATGTTGACTGACTGAAAGACTGCAACCCCGCTATGGGCCACGATGTTCATTCACATCATTCGAGAAAAATCTTATTTCCTGCAAAATCAGAAATACTTCATCTGCAGTAGAAAATCATTTCAATGGGTTTGTGTTTAAGTTGGTACCATAAAATTAAACTTAGCTTAAACCTCACCTCCTCTGAGACTCTTCCTGATACCTCACTTCTGTTCTTAAATATCCCTTTTTAGTACCTGATAGTGCCTATGCAAATCACCGAGTCACCTTTTTAATATTCTAACCTCCTGCGGTGTAGGCACCAGACTTTACTCAACTTTATATCCCCAATGTCTTTTACAGTGCTTGAATATAATCTGTGTGTAAAAAATACCTGCGAAGAATTAATCAGTTCAATGAATTTATGGCCAAATGACTGGCTTGATTGAAATGAAAGAAATCCAATTCGGTTCCTCTCAAAGGAAATCTCACAGCTGATATTATGATAATAAACAACCATTGTTTTTGTTCACATTAAGTAAACTAAATATTGGAGAAGTAATTAAAACTCAAGAGGTGAGAATTCCGCCCCTAGATGTGAATATGAACAGATTTTGACAGTTTCCGCAGGAAAGCGCTGTACAGCCCAGGTTTTCAGTTCGGACGCCTGGTGGCACTACAGGCTAAAAAGTAGGAGGAGGAGGAGCCCTGCATTTGCCTGCAGACTCCATCTTAGAAAAGACAAAATCTGAAAGGTGCTGGGAACAGATACGAGTTGGAAAACGTCCGCAGCGAGCTCAGATTTTAGAGCTTTCTTCAAACGAATGGGGACTACACAAATGTTTGGAAGTCTTACAGGATTTCCGAAGACTTCATTTACTAAAGGCAATGCACTCAGAGGATATACAGGAAATTGTGCGAGAAAAAAATCTGGCAGAAAACGCAGGTGGTGGGTTTTCATTTTCTTCCCGGGTGTAGCGCAGGCGGCCCAGGAAAAGGAAAACTGCTTTTTTATGGTCAGGGTTTCTGGAGATTGGCGCTGGCGGCGGAAAGGGGAGCGGCGGGAGGACAGACTGGAGCAGGATAGTTTCCAAAGAGACCAAATAATATTTCAGATCGACCCACAGAAGAGTCCTTGCTCTCAAGTAGAAAATCGGACCTATAGGAGCCCTGCATTTCCAAGAATTACCTGTATTTAAAAAAAAAAAAAATTTGTCTTTTGAGAAAAATCTGTGTCTGAGGTGTAACCGTTTCCTCCTTTGAAAAATTCTTCTGAATGTTCCAGAATGTGCACCAGGAACATGTATGAGGTTTGGGTAAATTTTCCATCATTGGAAACTACACACTCATTTTCAATTTCCATGTTCACAATAATGTGCTGTGCAATATTGGGGTAAGTAATTTGTCCATACGCGTGAAAAAAATCGCTGGATGAACCACAGCCCAAGGTAAGTTTAACTCTCCCAGAGAAGAATGGTAGATATCTGAGACCTCCTAAGTCCAAGTCATGACAATCAATGACAATCTTTGAGATGCAGGTCTCACAGCAACCGGCTGAAGATTTAGTCTGAGTAAATAATTATGAATCGGCTCTCAGAATTCTCCAGGCTCACTGAATTCTGCAACCTCTGGAGAGCATTTTAAATGCTAGCAGAACATTTTAAATACCACTGATACCCCATGCATCATAAGCATCCACTGCAAGAGAATTACCAGGAAATTTCAGTGCCACGTGGC
Source organism: Homo sapiens (assembly GCF_000001405.40). Taxonomy (NCBI): domain Eukaryota; kingdom Metazoa; phylum Chordata; class Mammalia; order Primates; family Hominidae; genus Homo; species Homo sapiens. The sequence goes on from NW_025791778.1 coordinate 320,834, forward strand.
AAATACTCAGGCAATTACAAGCAGAAATAGTTTCAGAAATTGTTTCTTCATGTGAAGGACGGTGGAAGACCATGCCATTGGATGACAATCACATAGAATTGGTCATGTTGACACTTATCTGCCTCATCCTGGAGCACTTCTGGGAAGACTTCATCTGTTTAAGAACCATAATCTCAGCACCCTGAGATAAAACAACAACAACAACAAAAACAAAACAAAACAAGAAAAAGCTTTGATCCTTCCTACCAGAGTTTTCTTTTCATTGGATATTTAAAATATTCCATAATCTGACAACCTAATAATGCAAACCAGAAAAGAGAGCTACACGCAACATCACTGTATTTCCAATGAAATTAGGTTCCAGGAAGCTCAAAACAAGACAGTAGGTAGAGACAGCTATCATCCTTGGCGTTCTTCCTTTTGGATTCTGGATAAAAGGTAGAGGAATAACAGCACCGTTCTGAATGTTTTGGTTATTTTATGGCTCTAATTTCCATCGTGTTTTTTTTCTGAAGCATAGCTAATTGTTCATTAACAGTTAACAGATATTGATGGCTTAGCTATTTTTATCTTTTTATCTATTTCACAAAGGTCTATTTAGAATCTAGTAGTGTATTTCCTCTTTATTGTTAAGCACAGAAAAGGAACGCATTTTTTTCTGCTCATGCCTAGTTTCCTTTGATCTTTCTCAAAGGTAAATTACCCCTAAAACTTTGAGTAGACTGTCCTAGCAGATATTCTGAAGCTTGACAAGGAAATTCATCCCACTTCAATCCATAAAATGATAGTCTTCGTAACTTCTCAAAGAAGGTCAAGCTATTTATTTTAAAGTCATCTTTTGCTTTTCTTGATATTTCGTAAATGATGGCTGACAAGTTGTGATAGTCTACTTTTCAGCAGGACTGGTCTCCATTTACTTAGTTTAAGTAACTATTTACTTGATTACTATTATTAATATATGGTTTTAACTTTTTATTTGAAATAGTCATTTGATGATTTTGGTGATATTGATGACCACGAAATCAAATGGAGATATACAACTACAAGAAAAAAAACTGTAGAAATAAATGTCTTTTTCGTTATTTAAGACGTAAATCAACTGAGTTGCTGTGTAGCTTATTTATGTCAATGTTAAATTTGTGTTTGTTAATTTTTACTGTTTCCTTATTAAACATCAAAAATGATTAATTCTTTGGCAATTAATATCATAGCATATCCAGTACATTAAATGTCATGTAAAACAGACCGACAAAACAATCTTATCTTTTTTTTCTTTATGTCAGTGTTTAATACTCTCCTGTATGGCTTAGGAAAATTAAAGAAGATACAACAGAATATGCCTCAAATAAGACCTATTTGTTGATATTTAATATATTTATGATAGTTGCTGATAAAATGAAAACAGACATTATTCAATACACTGGATAATAATTACATAAATACAAAGTGTTTGGTGTTTTCATTTGCCTTTCTCAAATACTTTTTTTCTTTCTAGAGAGTTTAATGCACTGACGGGGGGTGGGGGGCGGTCCTATAATGGCACTGCAGGCTCAAATGGTGGTTAAAGCAGATTGCAAATACAGTGCTGTATGTTTCATATTATATTACCCTGTCTGTGAAAGTTGTATTGGATGTCTAAGATTCTGGTGGCATAAGTAATAGAAACATTAGGGTGATCAGAGTTTGTGTAGGACCATATTTGCTGGAAGGTGTTAGAAGAAGGAATAATGTAATACTTAAAGCCCAGTCTAAAACAAAGTGTGATTCTGTTTTACTAAGCATGTACCATTCAGGATACTGAACTGCAGAATTCTGTTCCAGAGGTGCTGGAGAGTGGTTCCTTCATTGCTAATTTTGCAGAGATTTTGGGCCTTAGGATGGGGAACTTGAGAGGTATGGGGAGCGAGAGGGTAATTCATGTTTCTATAGATTTAAAAAACTGCATTTTCAAATCAAAAGACTCAGGAGTGGGTACTAAATAGAAATTGGATCCATCTGTGAGTCTCAAAGCACCTTGGAAAAATGTAACTCATTTGAGTTACTCATTTGCCTTGAGAAAGGTAACTTGGAAAAATGAGTTACATTTTTACAAGGTGCCTTGGACTCACAGATATAGCCATTCACTAGTGTGTATTACTGGATCTAGGAATGCTGCAAAAAATCAAGGAGAGCATCTTGTAGAGACCATATAGATGGCAGAACATGTAGACAGAGCAGTATTCATAAGTATATTTTGAATCCTAATTCCCATGTCTTCTCTTCTGTTTGCTTAGAGAATGGTGGCAGAAAATATCCTGAATGAGGATGGGCAATTTTCTCAGTGGAAAGAAATGGGTTGAGGTTAATTTAACTATCATGATATTGGATGGTGGGTCCCCACATAGATCCAAATCTGCATTGGTCTTCACCAAAGTTGTGGGTTATCAGTGATTTTACTCAGCTGTAATATATAGTAGTTCAGTACAGTAATCCCAGAAAAAAAGTTTTTCCTCCCTGGCTATCACTTTTCTATCAGGAATTTGGATACAAGGTATAATATAAAACTATCTTTAAGGTTTTACCGGGCTACTGAAGACTTAATGAAAACTTTAATAAAGCATTTACATTGGTATAAAAGTACCAAAAGCAAACCCATCACTCAAACCCGTAAATTCCAAGGCTATACTAATCTACAGTGTGGATTCTGAGATCATCAATAATTAAAGACTCTAGAAAATGTAACTTCTTGCTGTAAAAGACAGTCCACTCCTAATCATCATGTCATCATTTATGAACTAGGTCCCAAGGAGCCATATCTGCTTTAAGACCATATCTGCTGTTTCCTGTGTTTCAGATCCAGATCACAGAAAAAAAAATAGATATTTGGGCTTCATAATACCACCTTCCCTTCACCCTAAAGCCTTCAATAGAGGTAGATTAAAGACAAGTACAATTCTATGATTACTGCCAGAGATCTGGAGTTACTGTAAGCTGAAAGGAAACAATATAACCAGGTCTTCATTTTCACCAAACTGCCTCTGCACTTATCAAGTATGAAAACACAGCCCTAGAGTGTGCATTTTAGCAGCACACTGCCATAAACAGAGACTTAGAAAAACACCCAAGTAACTTATTTGCTTCTGGTTTCCCAGGATGTGCAGTACTCCATGACAGTGGACACAAAGAATCTGTTTGTAAGGCCCATAAGAGTCAAGTTCTGTATGAGAGAAACAGACACTACTACTACCATGAGCTAGCAGCATGGTGTTGGTGTGGTTGGTAATATTTGATGGCAATGGCAATTCTCCTTTGTGTTATATTTAATGCAGAACGGATTATGTGATGTTCAAGGTGGTGGCAGTAGAAGGAGACTAGGTCTGGAAGGTCTTCATGTCCTATCAGTTACTCAAAGACTTGAGTCTCCATCTGTATAGCGTGTTAGCCCAACACTGGGAAGTGTGCACACTAGGTTTGTGAGTGATGGTAATCTAGCCAATCATAGACTTCAGGTTATGGTCAAGGACACTGAGATGCCACCTATGTATTCCAGATTCAGACAACAACTGCTGCTGGTCAGCTGTTTCTTTCAGCTCTACTGGCTACATCTTGACAGACCTCAGGAATATGGGGTCTGTCACTTAGATTCCTCACTTAGCATATACTATGGTTTTAGTATTCCTTTGTTTTCTTGTTGGCCTGCTTCTTTACACAGTAGATGTTCAAATAATTACTGTGATATGAAAATATGTTATAATTTTCAAGTATTTCCTTATATTTCTTTAGCATATCTAAATTGATTATTTATGCTTTGTATTTTGTAGTCAGAGTTTCAGGTTTCTTCCCCTCACCCCGTATTCTTTGCCCTCTCTACACCTTTGGATTTCTTCATTATTTACTAATTTTCGATATTGTATTTAGCCATATTATTTTCTTTTCTTTTTTTTTTTTTTTGAGATGGAGTCTCGCTCTGTTGCCCAGGCTGGAGTGCAGTGGCGCCATCTCAGCTCACTGCAAGCTCTGCCTCCCGGGTTCACGCCATTCTCCTGCCTCAGCCTCCCGAGTAGCTGGGACTCCAGGCGCCTGCCACCATGCCCAGCTAATTTTTTGTATTTTTAGTAGAGACAGGGTTTCACCGTGTTAGCTAGGATGGTCTCGATCTCCTGACCTCGTGATCCACCTGCCTTGGCCTCCCAAAGTGCTGGGATTACAGGCATAAGCCACAGCACCCAGTCCATATTTTCTTTTAAAGTAAAATTTCAATAGTGATCTTAGTGAAAATTCAATCATCTACCAGATTACCTAAACCTGATTTAAGTTTTAACCTATTTTAATCATAAAAAAAAGTCTGAGATTTTTGGAAGAGGTCATACCTCTGTCTCTCTCATCTCTATTTCCATCTATATCTGTCTATCTAGCTTTATCTGCAGTCCTGGTCAAGATTTTTATTTTCAAGGGGACAGATTGTCCTAATAGACTCTGATGGTTCTCCTTAAACAAAATTGGGCAAGATTCTTGTGCAGGTATCATTTTAAAAACCTTTTCTTGCTTATTTGTACTGTGGGAAGAGAATAAACAACACCATTTCCCCTTTTTGAGTTATATTTATTTCTTGTTTCATTTGCTTGTTTGTTTGTTGTTGTTGTTGTTGTTTGAGACAGGGTGTCGCTCTGTCTCCCAAGCTGGAGTGCAGTGGTGTGATCTCGGCTTACTGCAACCTCTGCCTCCAGGGCACAAGTGACGCTAACACCCCAGCCCCCTATGTAGCTGGGACTATGGGCGTGAGCCACCACACCTGGCTGATTTTTTTTTTTTTTTTTTGGTAGACATGGGGCTTTGCCACATTGCAGGCTGGTCTTCAAAACTCCTGGACTCAAGCAATCCACCCATCTTGGACTCCCAAAGTGCTGGGATTACAGGTGTGAGCCACCACGTGTAGCCGACCTTTATTTTGAAATCTTGTTTGCTTGAGCTTCATGAAATGTATGTCTTGATAGATTATGGGGAAACTTATTTGTATCCTCAATAAGGTAAAAGTAAATTAGTTGAATATGCCCCCAATTTTCACACTAGATTAGGGTAATAAACTATGCCAGAACACTCCCTTCTTGTCCTAGAATATTTCTCTTATATTTTCTGCAGAATCTTAGTGTTAGATCACTGAAAACCCCTCCTTCTTCTGCCATCTTATGGCTGAGTAAGTAAAGCCAGCTTGTGGGCAGAAGGCATTGAAAGGCTGAAGATCCCTCTCTATTGAAAGAGGGATACTAGTGGGGATAATATCTCCATATCATTTGGCATTATCTTTGATAGGAAAATGGTCATGTAAATCCCTTTGACTACCCTTTCTCCTAATTCTTGTAATTTTCATCTCATGGCAGTCAAAAGATCAAATCACCCTTTAGTCCAAAAAAGAGAGAGGCAAGCTTAATTATGACAGATACTCAAACAATGTGTTCTTATTTAGTTTTTGAATGGCTGTACTTTTGTAATAAGACTGTAATGACTTGCTTTCATTTTTGGTATGTTTTTGAAAATATTTTTCTATTCCTGTATATGAAATTATTTGTGTAACATTTTAATATGTTAGATTTTATTAAATGAATCTTCAAAATTATGAAAGTGACTCCTAGGATAATGTCTCTGCTTGTGCAGCATATGAAAAGTAAAGCGAAACCTAAGAAATTAAACCTACTGTAATAACATAATTTTTAAATTATGCAATAGATTCCCCTCATTATAATATAAATAATTACTATATGTAAACATATTTCATTCAGACTTATAAATATGCTATAAATTATAATCTAATATATATGATTCCTTATTAAAGGAGATTAAGAAAATAAGAGCATTTGTAAAGAAGGAAGGTGTATTCTCATCAAGGTTTAAGAAAATAAATGATTTAAAATAGCATAGCGGATATAATGCATTTAAAGCTGGAAACCTATATACGAATATAAAATATTGGTGTTGGTTATATAATCTTTGAAAAAGAGAAACTTACTTCTATTTCTAGGTGTGTTAATAGCATTGAAATGAAAGATGGGTAAAACCTTCTGAATTGTGAGGACACATGACAACATGAGAGGTTTTAAAATTTTTTTCACAATAAAACCTAATGTGTTCTTGGTTATTGTATCCTCTGAAATATCTTAGATATTAAGTTTTCTATTCTCCAGCTTGTGAGAAGAGATTATGTTATTTTCTTCATATTACCTATTTTCCTCTCCTTTATGTTATCCCAAATTAACCATAACTGCTTTAGTTCAGAAAACCTGTCCAAAGGAAATAGCCATATACCTGGTTAAATATAAAATTTCGAGTAACCTACCAGTTATAATTTGCCTGTATGATATAACTGATCTTCACTACATCTATTTCGGACCCTAATCAGGTTTTGCAGATTATATAAAAAGCTGTTTTTAAAGACTTGGACCTTGGGTGTTATTCACCTCAATGAATTTGTTTAATGCTCAATGTCAATGAATTAACATATTTTGAATTATTATAACATCCATATAAAAGTAATAATCATGGAAAGCAAAAAATAATATCAACAGGTAGAGATAGGCATTTGTTTTCTAAATGTTAAGAAAAGGAACCTGTGATTATCCTTTTTTTAGCCAGTTACAAGATGATAAATGAGAGCTTTTTAAAATATTATGCTATTGTTACATTTAATAAATCATCCAGTCCAGTTTTCTGAAAATACAGGGGATAGAAGAACAGGTTAAATGATACCATGAGGAAACAATCAAATTTGGAATGTAGGACATCCTACAAAACAACTAGTCTGGACACTTCAGAAATCTAATGTCATTAAAGATGGGGGAGTATTCTAGAGTAAATAGATCTAATAGCCAAATACAATTATCAAAGTTGGTTGAAAAAGTTTCTAAGACATTCCTTATAACAAATAGTTAAAAAAGTAAGTGCATTTGTCAAAGGAACTTGAGTGAGTGTGAATTCTTATCAAAATTGAGGAAAAGATAATGGAAAGACAGTGAAATTTGATTGGGGCTGGATTTTAGATAACTGTAGAATTTTTTTAAATTTTCTTAGGTATGATAGAACCATTATGATTATATGAGATAATATTATAATTATGTGATACCTGCTGAAATATTTAGAGGTGAAATATGATGTCTGCAAGTTACTTTCATATAAGTCATCAGAAAAGCGGGTGTGTGTACAGAATAAGATAGAACAAATATGGTAAAATATAAACAATTGTTAAGTTTGGATGGAGGTTAGAGTTGTAGTTTATGTATAGTTCTTTTAACTGTTCTATATATTTAATTTTTTTCTTCATCCCCCAATTTTTTAACCCAATGGATCTTTTAGAGACACATCCTAATATTTATTATTATTATTATTATTTTGAGATGGAGTCTCGCTTTGTCACCAGGCTTGGAGTGCAATGGCATGATCTCAGCTCACTGCAATCTCCGCCTCCCGGGTTCAAGTGATTCTCCTGCCTCACCCTCCCAAGTAGCTGGGATTACAGGCACCCATCACCATGCCTGGCTCATTTTTTTTGTATTTTTAGTAGAGATGGGGTTTCACCAGGTTGGCCAGGATGGTCTTGATCTCTTGACCTCGTGATCTGCCTGCCTCGGCCTCCCAAAGTAAAATTATTTTTTAAAGCAGCCTTAGAGTTTACAGAAAATTGAGCAAATAGTACAAACAGTTCCCCTCACATACCGATTTTCTCCCACTCAAAGTTTCCCTGTTATCAAAATCTTGCATTACTGTGGTACATTTGTTACAATTGATGAGCCAATACTGGTAAATTATTAACTAAATTTCATAGTTTAGTGTTCACTCTTTGTGTTGTATAGTTCTGTGGATTTTGACAACGGCATAATGTCATGTATCTACCATTGTAGTATCGTAAAGTACCCCATGTTTAACCTCTTCATCCCCCTCCCTCTTCTTCCTAGCTATCACTTGTCTTTTAAATGTCTCTATAATTTGGCCTTTTTCAGAGTATCATGTAATTTGAATTATACAGTATCATTGCCTTTTCAGACTGGATTCTTTCACTGAGAAATATGCATTTAAGTTTCCTTCATGTCATTCTGTGGCTTGATAACTTCTTTATATTAACATTAAAAAAGAAACAAAAAGACAAAATTAAAAAACCTAACAACAAACAATGACATATATACCCTGTTTGGAAGCAGATTGAAGAAACCATCACTGAAAAGACATTTTTAAAGATAATTGGGGAAACTGGAATATTTACTGGCTATTTAATATTATGAAATTGCTCTTTGCTAGATGTGGTAATTGAATTGAGGTTATGTTGAAAGTTCTCCTAGGCATTAGAAAGGAAAATAATATTGATACATTTACAATAAGGAAATATCTGGCTGCTCTTGGAGAGTTTCATGAGGCTCAGACACATCAAAGTTCAGGAAAATGTGAAGTGGGAGCAGTGCAAAGAAAGAAATATGAGTAAGGAGACTATTTCAGTGCCCATTAAAATACTCTTATTTGGATTCTGTGCTTTTCCTGGGTCTCTGTTTTTCAGCTGGGTTTGAGTGTGATGATGGTAATCTAACCACCACTGAGTTGCACACATGCCCAAACTCTGAATAAAAATAGAACTTTCTTAGTCTAAGCCTTCTTTCCGAAGCATGCTAGGACTGAGATCACTCCCTTCCAGGTTCTGAAATTTATTTTTTCCAGTTTGAAAAAAAAAAAAAGCTTGGATTTGTGAGGGAAGTGAAGATTTATTTATTCTTGCCCTGTCTCTATGGGTGCAATGAAGAGCCTTTCGAAACGCCAATAAGACTTCGGTACACTGAGAGACACTACTTGAAAATACTCAATTTCGATTGCCATCAGCCTGAAAGAAAGCACTGGGATTTTCTTAAAGTTTAGGAGAAAATAAATACTCGGAAGAGACGCGGGGTGGCGCTGCAGCCTTAGAAGTAGCAGAAACAAAGCACCCAGCCGACGCTCCCTTACCCAGATACTCAGCTAAAGAAGCAGCAAGCAGGAAGAGGAGGCTTTCTAAGGCGGTCGCTCCGGGAAATCCGGGCCCTAGGATTGTCCACTCATCCCAGTATCAGCGAGATACGGGGAGATAGAGTTAGCGACAACGTGAGCCAGAGCTGGAGCACGTTTGGTGAGAGACCAGAAAGCAATGGAGGCCGGAGAGGGGAAGGAGCGCGTTCCGAAACAAAGGCAAGTCCTGATATTCTTTGTTTTGCTGGGCATAGCTCAGGCTAGTTGCCAGCCTAGGCACTATTCAGTGGCCGAGGAAACGGAGAGTGGCTCCTTTGTGGCCAATTTGTTAAAAGACCTGGGGCTGGAGATAGGAGAACTTGCTGTGAGGGGGGCCAGGGTCGTTTCCAAAGGAAAAAAAATGCATTTGCAGTTCGATAGGCAGACCGGGGATTTGTTGTTAAATGAGAAATTGGACCGGGAGGAGCTGTGCGGCCCCACAGAGCCCTGTGTCCTACCTTTCCAGGTGTTACTAGAAAATCCCTTGCAGTTTTTTCAGGCGGAGCTACGGATTAGGGACGTAAATGATCATTCCCCAGTTTTCCTAGACAAAGAAATACTTTTGAAAATTCCAGAAAGTATCACTCCTGGAACTACTTTCTTAATAGAACGTGCCCAGGACTTGGATGTAGGAACCAACAGTCTCCAAAATTACACAATCAGTCCCAATTTCCACTTTCATCTTAATTTACAAGACAGTCTCGATGGCATAATATTACCACAGCTGGTGCTGAACAGAGCCCTGGATCGCGAGGAGCAGCCTGAGATCAGGTTAACCCTCACAGCGCTAGATGGCGGGAGTCCACCCAGGTCCGGCACGGCCCTGGTACGGATTGAAGTTGTGGACATCAATGACAACGTCCCAGAGTTTGCAAAGCTGCTCTATGAGGTGCAGATCCCGGAGGACAGCCCCGTTGGATCCCAGGTTGCCATCGTCTCTGCCAGGGATTTAGACATTGGAACTAATGGAGAAATATCTTATGCATTTTCCCAAGCATCTGAAGACATTCGCAAAACGTTTCGATTAAGTGCAAAATCGGGAGAACTGCTTTTAAGACAGAAACTGGATTTCGAATCCATCCAGACATACACAGTAAATATTCAGGCGACAGATGGTGGGGGCCTATCTGGAACTTGTGTGGTATTTGTCCAAGTGATGGATTTGAATGACAATCCTCCGGAACTAACTATGTCGACACTTATCAATCAGATCCCAGAAAACTTGCAGGACACCCTCATTGCTGTATTCAGCGTTTCAGATCCTGACTCCGGAGACAACGGAAGGATGGTGTGCTCCATCCAAGATGATCTTCCTTTTTTCTTGAAACCTTCTGTTGAGAACTTTTACACTCTGGTGATAAGCACGGCCCTGGACCGGGAGACCAGATCCGAATACAACATCACCATCACCGTCACCGACTTCGGGACACCCAGGCTGAAAACCGAGCACAACATAACCGTGCTGGTCTCCGACGTCAATGACAACGCCCCCGCCTTCACCCAAACCTCCTACACCCTGTTCGTCCGCGAGAACAACAGCCCCGCCCTGCACATCGGCAGCGTCAGCGCCACAGACAGAGACTCGGGCACCAACGCCCAGGTCACCTACTCGCTGCTGCCGCCCCAGGACCCGCACCTGCCCCTCGCCTCCCTGGTCTCCATCAACGCGGACAACGGCCACCTGTTCGCTCTCCAGTCGCTGGACTACGAGGCCCTGCAGGCGTTCGAGTTCCGCGTGGGCGCCGCAGACCGCGGCTCCCCGGCGTTGAGCAGCGAGGCGCTGGTGCGCGTGCTGGTGCTGGACGCCAACGACAACTCGCCCTTCGTGCTGTACCCGCTGCAGAACGGCTCCGCGCCCTGCACCGAGCTGGTGCCCCGGGCGGCCGAGCCGGGCTACCTGGTGACCAAGGTGGTGGCGGTGGACGGCGACTCGGGCCAGAACGCCTGGCTGTCGTACCAGCTGCTCAAGGCCACGGAGCCCGGGCTGTTCGGCGTGTGGGCGCACAATGGCGAGGTGCGCACCGCCAGGCTGCTGAGGGAGCGCGACGCTGCCAAGCAGAGGCTGGTGGTGCTGGTCAAGGACAATGGCGAGCCTCCGCGCTCGGCCACCGCCACGCTGCACGTGCTCCTGGTGGACGGCTTCTCCCAGCCCTACCTGCTGCTCCCGGAGGCGGCACCGGCCCAGGCCCAGGCCGACTTGCTCACCGTCTACCTGGTGGTGGCGTTGGCCTCGGTGTCTTCGCTCTTCCTCTTCTCGGTGCTCCTGTTCGTGGCGGTGCGGCTGTGCAGGAGGAGCAGGGCGGCCTCGGTGGGTCGCTGCTCGGTGCCCGAGGGCCCCTTTCCAGGGCAGATGGTGGACGTGAGCGGCACCGGGACCCTGTCCCAGAGCTACCAGTACGAGGTGTGTCTGACTGGAGGCTCCGGGACAAATGAGTTCAAGTTCCTGAAGCCAATTATCCCCAACTTCGTTGCTCAGGGTGCAGAGAGGGTTAGCGAGGCAAATCCCAGTTTCAGGAAGAGCTTTGAATTCACTTAAGTGTTAATAAGGATCTACTGAGGCTAGTCTCGTTTAATTTGTGGAAAGTCCTTTTTTACTGCTTTGCCCATTGGAGGTGTCTCCTTTTATTAGAAAGTAACCATCTTATTCCAATTCTATGCATGTTACTGGTATTTATAAATGTATGAGTTTTTTTGCGGTATAATAAATGTAAATTTTCTTTGTATTCTAATTGTTGGTTAGTTTCATTGCAATTTAATTGCATTTAAAGTGTAAAAGTAAATTTTGTATTTTCAGAAATCTTTAAGTTAGAGCATCTTTTCCAGACCTCACAGTCTATGGTCCTAGATAATTTTGAAGTCCTACATTTGAAAATATTTGTTATCATTACATGAGTTATATTTTCCAGCCCAGAATATTTGTGTTTTTTATATCCTCTTAGGCTAGTGTAAATTCTATCCTGTGAATTCACATTGGCTAACCCTTTAAATAGGTATATTTATGAATAATATAGCAAGCACCGTCCTTACGTTTTTCAATATATGTAATTTTTTTTTTTTTTTGAGATGGAGTTTTGCACTTGTTGCTCAGGCTGTAGTGGAGTGCAATGGCGCAATCTCGGCTCGCCGCAACCTCTGCCTCCCGGGTTCAAGCGATTCTCCTGCCTCAGCCTCCCAAGTAGCTGGGATTACAGGCATGCATCATTATGCCCGGCTAATTTTGTATTTTTAGTAGAGACAGGGTGTCTCCATGTTGGTCAGGTTGGTCTTGAACTCCTGACCTTAGGTGATCTGCCCACCTCAGCCTCCCAAAGTGCTGGGATTACAGGCGTGAGCCACCGCCCCCCAGTCCAATATGTATACTTCTTTCAAGTGTTGACATATGAAAAGTATTAGTCTTTAGAGATTGTAAGAATTTTAACTGTTGGATTCTACAAGGCACTAACATCATAAGTGCTCTAATAAATTTTTGTCAAAAGTCAATCATTAATATTCAAAAATGTAGATAAATAATACATGTCTAGCAATTTTCAAAGGCATGCTAATTCATCATGCTTTCTCTTTCAAATAGTTTTTTTAAGAGCCCTCTGCTTATTCCAGTCCCCCCCTTTAAAATCTTTTAAAATTATTAATAACCTATTAACTTTGAGCACTTCATTAAAATCCAAAAAATTTGAGGGAGTACATGTCTTTGTCCTTTACCTTTAGAACCCTCAAACATAGCTTGGTATTGCTGTTTTTAAAATTTTCTGGAGCATTTAGGATTCACTTAGAAACAAGCCTTTAGGGAGAAAAATTTATCTAGCACCACTCACTCTATTTTTTTGCACTGACTACTTCTATTTTTCCCCCTTTCATTTCCCTAGACTTTTCAATGCTTTTTTATAAAGGTGCTTGAGTTCTGTTTCTCAACAGCTCCCTCATTTATTGAATGATTCACACAGTCACTGGAATATTATAGGCTCTTAATAAAATTTTTGAATGATTGAAAGAGAGAAAAGTATTTTACCTGTGATATATTGATATTTAAATAAACTAGAACACTTAAAGGAAAACATTTTGCTGGAATCAAATACTCTTTGGTGTACAATGAATTATAATTTTGTTATTAATTGAATTGGTTACCATTGTTTGAACATGCAGTTATCATTCTGTTGTCGCTTTCCTTCAACATATTTTTACTTTTTCTCTTAATGCTTAAATTGAGCCTCCTTTCCTGTCCACTGGCTTAAGGAATACAGATGGCTTTTAATTTTATTACTTAAATTTCCTTCCATAGTTCCCTAAATGACTCACCCAACTGTTTTCATTTCTTGCAGTTTACTTTCTGATCCATACATTAAAACAAATCTTAATTCTTAATGTTACTCAGTCTATCTTTATATTTTTATATCATTTTTACATACATTTGAATGAGCTATCCTATTAAAATTTTAATATTAACTTTGAAGGTCTTGTTTTGAGATTAGCAATGGTGTAGAGCGCTGTGTTGGTATCAAAAGTCTCTGATCAACCAACTCATTACCTGTAGGATTTTGGATGAGTCACAAAGTTTCTTTTCTTCTACCCAAATGATAGCAGGTATTTGAATAGCTTGCAGTTATACTCAATATAAAGACATAAAAGTGAAATTGCTGTTATTTTTAGTATCACTAGTATTAAGAGCAAACATTCTTGATAATTGTGTAGAAGTACAAAAGCGGCTACATTGAACACATATTTGCACTGTTTTATTTCTGTACCAACAACCTTGCAATGGCTTCCTTTTGTTCTTAGAATAATAAAATCCAAGCGCCCATTATTTGGCCTTGGTTTACCTTTTCAGCCTTCCTTTCCACTTACTCTTGAGACATTAAGTTTTGTATTCACTGTACTTCATTCATTATCTATTAATAGCTATGCTTTGCTCTCTCAGGGCCTTCACACATTCTACAGTCTTAGCCTGGCACACTTCTCCTATTTCATGTTTCAGATTAAATGGTGCACCTTGGGGGAAACTTTCTTAATCACTCTCCATTAAGTTAGGTCCCCGTATTGCATACTTTCAGTGCACTCAGTACCTTTTCTATGTAGCACTTTTCACACTGTTTAAACATCTGTTTAAAGACTGTACACCCACTAGATGGAAAATTGTTGTAAGATATACAGACATTGTCTTGTTACCACCACTTGCCTAACTTCTACAAACTCAACAATTATCTGTGGAAATAAACTAATACAGATGAAATGAATAATTGTAAATTTGCTCTGAAATAAGAAGAGAAAGCACTTTAAGTGTTCCTTGAGCATGATAATCTGGAAGAAATTAGGTATTTGTAGTCCTCTGGATCCACCTCTGACATGATATATTTTCTTTTTTACCACCTTGCAGGAGGTGTCTTTTCCTTGTGTTTTTCTGGTATATGCAATTCGGGCTCATTTCACAAAGTTTAGGAAAAAAAGAAAAACATAAATAGGATAGTGAAGCATGCTATCATCTAGAGCAAAAATCTTTTGAAGTTTGTGTGTAATTATTACAAAAGGGGAGGGGTAAACTAGTATGTGTACACTTCCGTTAAATCGTGTAAATGAGGACTCTACCAGGAAGAATCGCTGCTCGTAGATAAAAGTGCATTTTATTTCCCTAGATTGCATTTATTTAATTCATATAACATGAGAAACTCCTCCAGTAGCGTCAACTAGGGTTGATAAGAATAATCGATAAAGCAAAATAAAAACACCTTCTCCAAGATTTTGTAACTGCAAGCGAACGCATGGTGGCGCTGTTGACTAAGAAGGCGAATTAAACCACAGGCATTGTGCATGCTCGGTGACGCACGGATCCAGTGTGGTAAACCAGCGGTTGAGAGCCCAGGCAGATTTTTGAGCCAGCAAGTCTGAGCCTCTGGAAAGGCTTATTCACTAGGCCGTCTACAAAGGTTGTGGGGCAAAAGACTGTTTCCCAGCTCTGTCTGAGGTTCAGCTTGGCGACATTCCCTGGAAGAGCGTGACGGAAAGTGCAATGGAGGCGGGAGGAGAGCGATTTCTTAGACAAAGGCAAGTCTTGCTTCTCTTTGTTTTTCTGGGAGGGTCTCTGGCTGGGTCCGAGTCAAGACGCTATTCTGTGGCTGAGGAAAAAGAGAAGGGCTTTTTAATAGCCAACCTAGCAAAGGATCTGGGACTAAGGGTAGAGGAACTGGCCGCGAGGGGGGCCCAAGTTGTGTCCAAAGGGAACAAACAGCATTTTCAGCTCAGTCATCAGACAGGTGATTTGCTCCTGAATGAGAAATTGGACCGGGAGGAGCTATGCGGCCCCACAGAACCATGCATACTACATTTTCAGATATTACTGCAAAACCCTTTGCAATTCGTTACAAACGAGCTCCGTATCATAGATGTAAATGACCATTCTCCGGTATTCTTTGAAAATGAAATGCATCTGAAAATCCTAGAAAGCACTCTGCCAGGAACAGTAATTCCTTTGGGAAATGCTGAGGACTTGGATGTGGGAAGAAACAGCCTCCAAAACTACACTATCACTCCGAATTCCCACTTCCACGTACTCACTCGCAGTCGTAGGGACGGAAGGAAGTACCCGGAACTAGTACTGGATAAAGCGCTCGATCGGGAGGAGCAGCCGGAACTCAGCTTAACGCTCACCGCGCTGGACGGCGGCTCTCCCCCTCGGTCTGGGACAGCCCAGATAAACATCCAGGTCTTAGATATAAACGACAATGCACCAGAATTTGCACAGCCGCTCTATGAGGTTGCAGTTCTAGAGAATACCCCCGTTAACTCTGTCATTGTCACTGTCTCGGCTTCTGACTTAGATACAGGAAGTTTTGGGACAATATCATATGCATTTTTTCATGCTTCTGAAGAAATTCGCAAAACTTTTCAGCTAAATCCAATTACTGGTGATATGCAACTGGTCAAATATTTGAATTTTGAAGCGATTAATAGTTATGAAGTCGACATCGAGGCCAAGGATGGCGGAGGCCTATCCGGAAAGTCTACAGTCATAGTCCAGGTGGTTGATGTCAACGACAACCCACCGGAACTGACCTTGTCTTCAGTAAACAGCCCTATTCCTGAGAACTCGGGAGAGACTGTACTGGCTGTTTTCAGTGTTTCTGATCTAGACTCTGGAGACAACGGAAGAGTGATGTGTTCCATTGAGAACAATCTCCCCTTCTTCCTGAAACCATCTGTAGAGAATTTTTACACCCTAGTGTCAGAAGGCGCGCTGGACAGAGAGACCAGATCCGAGTACAACATTACCATCACTATCACTGACCTGGGGACACCCAGGCTGAAAACCAAGTACAACATAACCGTGCTGGTCTCCGACGTCAATGACAACGCCCCCGCCTTCACCCAAATCTCCTACACCCTGTTCGTCCGCGAGAACAACAGCCCCGCCCTGCACATCGGCAGTGTCAGCGCCACAGACAGAGACTCAGGCACCAACGCCCAGGTAACCTACTCGCTGCTGCCGCCCCAGGACCCGCACCTGCCCCTCTCTTCCCTGGTCTCCATCAACGCGGACAACGGCCACCTGTTTGCCCTCAGGTCGCTGGACTACGAGGCCCTGCAGGCGTTCGAGTTCCGCGTGGGCGCCACAGACCGTGGCTCCCCGGCTTTGAGCAGCGAGGCGCTGGTGCGCGTGCTGGTGCTGGACGCCAACGACAACTCGCCCTTCGTGCTGTACCCGCTGCAGAACGGCTCCGCGCCCTGCACCGAGCTGGTGCCCCGGGCGGCTGAGCCGGGCTACCTGGTGACCAAGGTGGTGGCGGTGGACGGCGACTCGGGCCAGAACGCCTGGCTGTCGTACCAGCTGCTCAAGGCCACGGAGCCCGGGCTGTTCGGCGTGTGGGCGCACAATGGCGAAGTGCGCACCGCCAGGCTGCTGAGCGAGCGCGACGCGGCCAAGCACAGGCTGGTGGTGCTGGTCAAGGACAATGGCGAGCCTCCGCGCTCGGCCACCGCCACGCTGCATGTGCTCCTGGTGGACGGCTTCTCCCAGCCCTACCTGCCTCTCCCGGAGGCGGCACCGGCCCAGGCCCAGGCCGACTTGCTCACCGTCTACCTGGTGGTGGCATTGGCCTCGGTGTCTTCGCTCTTCCTCTTTTCGGTGCTCCTGTTCGTGGCGGTGCGGCTGTGCAGGAGGAGCAGGGCGGCCTCGGTGGGTCGCTGCTCGGTGCCCGAGGGCCCCTTTCCAGGGCAGATGGTGGACGTGAGCGGCACCGGGACCCTGTCCCAGAGCTACCAGTACGAGGTGTGTCTGACTGGAGGCTCCGGGACAAATGAGTTCAAGTTCCTGAAGCCAATTATCCCCAACTTCGTTGCTCAGGGTGCAGAGAGGGTTAGCGAGGCAAATCCCAGTTTCAGGAAGAGCTTTGAATTCAGTTAAGTGTTAATAAGGATCTACTGAGCCTCGTCTTAGTTAATCTGTGGAAAGTCCTTTTTTACTGCTTTGTCCATTGGAGAGGTCTTTTTTGGTCTGGTTCAAGGCAAGTAGCAAGAATAGAGCAAAATATCAAATCCAGGGATGGCTTAGGTTTCATTAACAGTACTGGAAAGTAGTTGTGTGGCTCTGAATGTTTTGTATTTCAATCGAGAATCCTTAGTCGATAGAACATTTTGTTTATATATTGATTCTACTTTTTCTGTAGTTAATCCTTGCATATTCTCCTTTCATCCTGGCTTGCCAACGCAGTCTTAATTCCGCCTTTTTTTTTTCTAATGGGGAGCAAAAAGAAATTCACTGTCTTTTAATAGTGATTTCAAATAGCTTATTAAAATAACTCCATTCAAATTTTACATTATAAAGCAATGTAGAGAGAGTTCCAAACCACCAATTTTATAATTTCCCTTGTTGAATATATTCATATAATGTGTTCTATAATATGCCCAAAGCAGCTTTGTCTATAGTTAACAAAGTTTTAAGGATAGACAAGAATGTGTTTTCTTTAATAAATAGTAATATATCATCTTTTTAGGGATATAGTACTCAAATGAAAGTAATTTAGTTCATTTTCTGTGTTGACATTTGCAATTAATATTTCAATATTTTATGTGCTTATATTGGCCAAAATATGGACACAAATATAGACTAATATGGGTAATTACCCTTTGGTTTATCTAAAGTGTGTTCATGATGACTGAGGAAAAAAATTAAACCTATGCCATTTAAAAAACTGACTGTTCTTTTCCATTTGACACAAAAACGTTGTTTAGTAAGACATCTGGTGGAACAACTATTTGTTTCATAAATTCTGAGATGTAAGTGTTATGAATCTGAGAGACAATTTTTAATTTCAAGAAAATACATGGGTATATGATATCTAAATGCTTCAAGGTAAAAGTGGTGTCCTATCCAGTCCTATTTTTTTTTTTTTTTTTTTTTTTTTTGAGACGGAGTCTCGCTCTGTCGCCCAGGCTGGAGTGCAGTGGCGGGATCTCGGCTCACTGCAAGCTCCGCCTCCCGGGTTCACGCCATTCTCCTGCCTCAGCCTCCCAAGTAGCTGGGACTACAGGCGCCCGCCACTACACCCGGCTAATTTTTTGTATTTTTAGTAGAGACGGGGTTTCACCGTTTTAGCCGGGATGGTCTCGATCTCCTGACCTCGTGATCCGCCCGCCTCGGCCTCCCAAAGTGCTGGGATTACAGGCGTGAGCCACCGCGCCCGGCCCAGTCCTATTTTATTATTAATACCTACTTGCCACTTGTATGATGATATAGGAGAAAGATATTTTCTTTTTTTCCTGTCTTGGTTCCCTCCTTCAGATTTTAACCTGACATGATTTAGGATTATATATGGTCTTTCTGGGATAGAAACTGTCCATCCTTATCAGCATCCTACCTCCTGCAATGTAATTAAAAGAAGATGTACAAGAATAGAAAGTTCTAAAAAGGAGAGGGCAATATCGTTGTGAAACTCTAAATTAGCTACAACTAAGAATAAAATCTGGAAGCAACCAAAACATGGAATCTTATGGTTATCTTGAGTAAAATAAAAAAACTTATTTTAAGCGACAAAATATTTAGCTCCTAATTAGGGAAGTGTATTAGGAAAAAATTAATTTTCTTCTTACAAGCATTTCTTCACCCACAGAACATCCATATAACTTTCTAGCAATTAAATACTCATGACTAGAGAAAAGAGAATTTCTCAAAGATTTTAAAAATTCCCCAAAAAGCAAGAGTTTAAGATTGACATGCTTTCAAACATATGTTAAAGTGTAGTTATTATCACATTTAAATGGTGTAATTTTATGTAACAGCATCAAATTCATAAATACTTTTTAAAAAAAATTTTTGAGACAGGGCCTTGCTCTGTTGCCCAGGCTGGAGTGCAGTGGTACAATCATGGCTCACTGCAGTCTCAATCTCCTGGGCTCAAGGGATCTGACCACCTCAGCCTCCAGAGTAGCTGGGACCATAGGTGTGTGCCACCACACCCAGCTATTTAACAACAAAAAAAATTTATTTGTAGAAATGGGGTTTCCCCATGTTGCCCAGGCTGGTCTGGAACTCCTGTGCTCAAGGGATCCTCCTGCCTCCACTTCCCAAAGTGCTAGGATTAACAGGTATGAACCACCATGCCCAGCCAAATATGTGAATCTTTAATAGTCAGAGGAAAATTAATATAATATTTCCTTTCACTTTAAGTACTTTATAGAGATGTTTGAATCTGGCTGTTTTGGTCAGATATTTTTCTTCTTTGCATACGTAGCTGATTTTCCATGAATATCAGGAAAAGGCATAGAATTCTGATCAAGATTTCTCTCTCTTTGATTACCTTAGTCCCAGGTGGTATCAGAGCCAGGGAAGTACTCAACTGTGGAAAATATAGAGGGCAGTTCTTTTGGGGACTAATATGGTATATGATCGGAGACTAAAGTTCAAAAGGCAATATGCTGAGTCATTTAGACACTGAAGATAGAAGAACAGATACCATTTGTAATTTAGTTTTTAGATGTACTGGACTTATACATTGTTGAGAAAATGAATAGAATTTAGCAAAGCCAGAAAAGATAATCTATACTAAATTTGAAGGTGGGAAACAATCACATCTTACTCTTGGTTCAAAGCTGCTTCTCTTTCAGGGCAGTTAGAAACCTTTTACCCTTTTATTTGAAGACAACTTCCAAAAACATATTCATCTGGATATTTCATTAAATACAGAACAGAGAGAGTACCACATGTACAGTACTAACTAGTGTTGCCACGTTTTGGAATTCCACGAACTAAATGCCTGGCACAAGGTAAAAGGGTTATTAATAATTTTCTAGTAATTTTTCTTCTAGGCAGGCTAATTCATTATTGTAAAATATTTACAAATCGATCTCACCAGTATTCCAATTATCAAAAAGTAAGAGAAGGAAAAATTTTACTCCCTTCCCTCATTCTAGAATATATAAAATGACCTTACTAGACTCTAAACAACTTGAAGGTAGAGTCTGTTTCTGGTTTATTCACAGTGGTATTTCCAGCAAATAGCACAATGCCTCATTCATAGTAGACACTCAGTTTATATTTGTTAAATAAATAAATTTTAAATTATTTGGGAAATAAAATAATGCTGTAAGGACTTACAAACTTGTTTATTTGGACCTGATCTACACATTGAATTTTAAAAGAACTATCTGTATTCAGAAAGGGGTGGAGTATGAAGAATAATTCCCTATAGAGGCAATTTTTTATTTAATGTCTCCCTTTGCATCTTGAGACTTGTGGAAACTTGGAGAACTGTAAAATTATGTATTAATCTCCAAGTTGGTTCCAAATTGAGCTTATTTATATCTTTGATTTCAGGGACAAAGAAGAAATTAAATATAAGACTTTTTTGTACATCAAATTAACTTTCTGAAATTGGTATTTAAATTCTCTGGCCTCTAATTGGTACTTCTGTTGAACTTGGGTTAGTCTTAATGATATCAAGATTAAATAAAATTTGCAAGATCCCAAAGGCTTAAAAATTTTTTTAATAGCCAATCATTCATTTATTTTCAAAACATAATTCTCGATCACGTGCACACTCCTTTCTTCTCTCTACAAATACATTAGTTCAGAAATAACTTAAATATTTCCTTGACATTCACAATCTAGTTTTTAGCACTGAAAATCAAAGGGATACAAATGAATTTTAAATTTTTATTTGGGGAGTTGTTATAAGACTAAGCTATATTCAAATATCAATCATTAAAACTAGTGAGGCCACTCACTATACCACCATACTTTTCATAAATCTCCTTTGATGAATAAATTCTACTTCCTTACAAAAGAAGACTCTGTTTAAAAAAGGTACCAACTTTTCTATATATCCCCCTACTTTATTCTGGAAATGTCTTTTGCTTCTTAAAGTAATTGTTAGATTTTTTAAGCCAGAAATCTGTTAGTCCTAATTATGAATTATTTTAATGTCAAATATGCATATGGTTAATCAATAGTTTTCTTTATCATAGATTCAAAATTTTAAGCTTATTTTCCTTCCATTCTTTAGGCATTCAACACGTTGATGAAAAGTACAATGTCAGTCTACTTCTCATTCTTTTATCCGTAAACTTCTTTACTCTCTTTTAGATTCTTAAATTTATTCTTGCTGTTCTGATATATATGGTAGGCCCCAACCTGAGATTCACATAACGTACTGCATTTTTTTCTTTGAGAAATTACAATTTTCTTTTGAAAACTTTCATTTGGCAAGTTTTCACAACTATTTGTTCTTGTTTCAAAATTGCTATTTCCTTCTTTGTTGTTTGAGTCTTTTACGTTTAAGTTCTTGCCATATTGTTTCGAATTTCAATTTCTTATAGTAGATAAAACAATTCTTTTATTTGTTGAGTCTCTTTTTCATGGTGTCAATCTTCATTTGCTTGGTGATATTTTACTGAGAACTTATCTCTTATTGGAAGCTTCTTTCACAGTAGTACTTGTTTTGACAATCCTGGGGAAGGGAAGAAGGAGAAGAGGGGTCTCAAGGTGGTTTCAGCCCTGGCCTCTGCAAACCCAAGCCTTAATTTAAAAGCTTAGCTCGCCGGGCGTGGTGGCTCACGCCTGTAATCCCAGCACTTTGGGAGGCCGAGGTGGGTGGATCACGAGGTCAAGAGATCAAGACCATCCTGGCTAACATGGTGAAACCCCGTCTCTACTAAAAAATACAAAAAATTAGCCGGGCGTGGTGGCACGCGCCTGTAGTCCCAGCCACTCGGGAGGCTGAGGCAGGAGAATGGCGTGAACCCAGGAGGCGGAGCTTGCAGTGAGCGGAGATCGCCCCACTGCACTCCAGCCTGGGCGAAAGAGCGAGACTCTGTCTCAAAAAAAAAAAAAAAAAGGAAAAAAGAAAAGAAAATAAAAAAAGAAAAAAGCTTAGCTCAACTTTGCCACACCCAGGTAAAAGTTCTGGACCAAGCACTAAAAATATGTTTGAGTTGGGACCCATGCTCTTTTGGGTGGTATTGTTCTGCATTTGCTCAATGAGGCAAAAATCTCAGGGAATGTCACTGCTTCTTGGTTGTCACGGTTTCTGCTAAGGCTATAGACATGGAAGCTAATGGAGAAATTTAAAATGTTTCAATCTTCAGAGTAAATAAGTTGATTTTTAGGAAAAGTGAACTGTAACTGAAGCAATTGACACATGGGGACTATGTGGAAAACATCATGGTCTGGATTCAAGTTACAGCATTCATGGTAATGCTCAGAAAGATAATAACATACTCCAAGATTCCACTGAAATAGTGGTTGCTATTTTTTTTTTTAGAAAATAGCTTGGGACTCTGGTGATAATGCAAAATGGGCTTGCTCCTTCCAAGACAATCTCCTCATGAAACCATTTGTCAAAAATTAGTGTTCTGGGACTGGGCACAGTGGCTCATGCCTTTAATCCCAGCACTTAGGGAGGCCGAGACAGGAGGATTGCTTGAGCCCAGGAGTTCAACAACAGCCTGGGAAACATAGTGAGACTCTGTCTCTACAAAAAATTTTAAAAATTGACTGGGTGTGGTGGCATGCACCTGAGGTCCTAGCTACTGAAAAGGGTGAGGTGGGAGGATCCTCGAGCCCAGGAAGTTGAGGCTGCAGCAAGCCATGATCATGCTGTAGCCTGGGTAATACAGCCAGACTCTATCTCAAAAAATAAAATTATTTTGGTAACAGAGAAGTCAGGGCTCTGCACCATCTCTTACTAGGGTGGAATCTAACATGCAGAAATATAGCACAACATAATCACACTGTTCTTCAACACTGTCAACAATTCCCTGACCCAAACCTCATGTACCTTATTAATTCACAATAAAAAGAAAGTCCTACTCAGAATGATGATAGTATCACTGCCAAAAACAGAGACTATCTAGGGACTAATACCTAAGTCACTTTCCCACAGCTGCCCAAAGACGTATTCCTCAGCCCTCTCTTGGTATCCATCTGCATGGACAATGGAACCTGTGTGCTTTGATGTCCCTGGTTTTTGAGATTCTTGAAGAGTTTGAGTTCTAAATGTGTCTGGAGCTTTCTGGAGTTGAGCATCAAGATGTGCAGATCCTGGATGACACACAGCTATAATAGCTAGATAACAAAGAAAATTTATTATAAAGCAATTCTATATTGTGTACTGAGCTGTCCAGGTAGAAAAAAAGTGGTAACCCAGTGATGACTTGGGCTAGAACTCATGACTATTTTATTGGTGATTCGAGGCCTCAGAGCCCTGGATGTTAGCATGTGGGCCCACAGCCTGGAAGTACAGAGTATGTGAAGCACATCTAGGCTTCTAAAAGACAACCACAACCAGGCATAAGCTGGTGCTGTTATTAAGGACAAGTGGAAGCCACCTTTATTTGCCATGATCATCCTACACCTGGTCTAGGACTTACCCCAGTCTTCTCTTCCATTCCTTTAACCACCCATAAAAGGATTTCCATTTTCTTGATCACTGATTTGACTCAGTCTTCTTTCTCTTTCAATTCTCTCTGTTCCTGTGCTACTCAGATGTGGAGGGTCAACTGGGAAACTTCAGTGCATTGCTGCTCAAAAGAAAGACTCTTCCTGAGCATTTTGGGAGTATCAACACCACTGGGATTTAGTTCTAGAGCTTTCAGTGTGAGAAGTTTCTGGAATATCAGAAACAAATATCAAATTTCTGAAGCCAATTGTCTCTAATTAATGTGAGCTATCTATGAGGAAAGACTTTTAAAAGAAATTTAATTTCTAGAACAATGTGAGATTTATTTTTTAAAAATTGTATTCTCTAAATTGTATCTTTCTGAGGTTTTTTGTTTAAATTTATCTCTGAGGAAATGAATTTCTTCATCCCAAATGTTTCAATTCTATTTAATTTAAAGTAGGTAACTGGCAGTGTTGAAGTTTCATTGTCTATGTTTGTTATTACAAAAAAGGGTATTGTATATTTTACTGCAATTTTAAAAAAGAATATATTCTGAGCATCAGTGAAAATGGTAGAGAATGGACCTCTGAAAAATCTCTTCTCCAGGAAAGCACTGAGGAAAATGAGAAAAATTTTCAAAATCTACTGCTTCAGAACTCTGAAATTTAAACAAAGATGTACAGCAACTTAGGGAAAATTTATTGAGGGAAAAAGGTCTGACTCTTGGTTAAAAATAGTGGTTTTTGTGGCATTTTAACTGGCCTATTTCCATCTCCATCTCTCTAGCTTCTTAGTAGCCTTTAAAGTTAACAATTTACAATCACAATGAAAATTAGCAGCTTGGCAGCCACCAGAGGAAACAGAACAGCACCACAAAGAATTGTCATTATTTGATCTGTTTGGTGGTTCCCTGGAGGACTCCACTTGCAAGGCTGTCTTTAATTGCCTGAATTAGAGCTTGTCTAGTACAAAAAGTCTGGGTGACAGAGCAAGACCCTGTCTCAAACAAACAAACAAACAAACAAACAAACAGGGCCGGGCGCGGTGGCTCACTGCTGTAATCCCAGCACTTTGGGAGGCCGAGACGGGCGGATCACAGGGTCAGGAGATCGAGACCATCCTGGCTAACACGGTGAAACCCCGTCTCTACTAAAAATACAAAAAAATTAGCTGGGCGTGGTGGTGGGCGCCTGTAGTCCCAGCTACTCGGGAGGCTGAGGCAGGAGAATGGCGTGAACCCGGGAAGCTGAGCTTGCAGTGAGCCAAGATTGTGCCACTGCACTCCAGCCTGGGTGACAGTGCAAGACTCTGTCTCAAAAAAAAAAAAAAAAACAAAACCCAGAAAGAAAAAGAAGGAAAGAAGGAAGGAAGGAAGAGAGAGAAAGAAAGAAAAAAGAAAGAAAAAAATAATAGATCAACTGAAATTATCCAGTCTTAGCAACAAAAAGATTTTCAAAAATGAAAATGAACAGAGACCTGTGGGACACCATGAAGCCTACTAACTACACATACTTGAAGTCCCAGAAGGAGAAGAAGGAGACAGAATAACAGAAAGAATAGCTGAAATAATGGCTGAAAATTTCTCAAATTTGATGAGAAACATTAACCTTCACATTCAAGGAGCCCAGCAAACTCCAACCAGGATAAAGTCAAAGAGATTCATGCCTTGACATCATGATCAAACTGTCAAAAGCTAAAGACAAGAAGAGAACCTCAAAAACAGCAAGAGAGAAGCAACTCATCACATACCTTATCCTCAAAAATCTTATCCTCAGTATGACTGACACTGATTTCTTACAGACATAATGGAGGCCAAAGGGGAGTGGGATGACACATTCAAAGTGCTAAAAGGGACTATCTTTTTTTTTTTATACTTTAAGTTTAGGGTACATGTGCACAACGTGCAGGTTAGTTACATATGTATACATGTGCCATATTGGTGTGCTGCACCCATTAACTCGTCATTTAACATTAGGTATATCTCCTAATGCTATCCCTCCCCCCTCCCACCACACAACAGGCCCTGGTGTGTGATGTTCCCCTTCCTGTGTCCATGTGTTCTCATTATTCAGTTCCCACCTATGAGTGAGAACATGCGGTGTTTGGTTTTTTGTCCTTGTAATAGTTTGCTGAGAATGATAGTTTCCAGCTTCATCATTTTTTATGGCTGCATAGTATTCCATGGTGTATATGTGCCACATTTTCTTAATCCAGTCTATCATTATTGGACATTTGGCTTGGTTCCAAGTCTTTGCTATTGTGAATAGTGCTGCAATCAACGTACGTGTGCATGTGTCTTCATAGCAGCATGATTTATAATCCTTTGGGTATATACCCAGTAATGGGATTGCTGGGTCAAATGGTATTTCTAGTTCTAGATCCCTGAGGAATCACCACAGTGACATCCACAATGGTTGAACTAGTTTACAGTCCCACCAACAGTGTAAAAGTGTTCCTATTTCTCCACATCCTCTGCAGCACCTGTTGTTTCCTGACTTTTTAATGATCGCCATTCTAACTGGTGTGAGATGGTATCTCATTGTGGTTTTGATTTGCATTTCTCTGATGGCCAGTGATGATTAGCATTTTTTCATGTGTCTTTTGGCTGCATAAATGTCTTTTTTTGAGAAGTGTCTGTTCATATCCTTTGCCCACTTTTTGATGGGGTTGTTTGATTTTTTTTCTTGTAAATTTGTTTAAGTTCTTTGTAGATTCTGGATATTAGCCCTTTGTCAGATGAGTAGACTGCAAAAATTTTCTCCCATTCTGTAGGTTGCCTGTTCCCTCTGATGGTAGTTTCTTTTGCTGTGCAGAAGCTCTTTAGTTTAATTAGATCCCATTTGTCAATTTTGGCTTTGGTTGCCATTGCTTTTGGTGTTTTAGACATGAAGTCCTTGGCCATGCCTATGTCCTGAATGGTATTGCCTAGGTTTTCTTCTAGGGTTATTATGGTTTTAGGTCTAACATTTAAGTCTTTAATCCATCTTGAATTAATTTTTGTATAAGGTGTAAGGAAGGGATCCAGTTTCAGCTTTCTACATATGGCTAGCCAGTTTTCCCAGCACCATTTATTAAATAGGGAATCGTTTCCCCATTTCTTGTTTTTGTCAGGTTTGTCAAAGATCAGATGGTTGTAGATGCATGGTATTATTTCTGAGGGCTCTGTTCTGTTCCATTGGTCCGTATCTCTGTTTTTGTACCAGTACCATGCTGTTTTGGTTACTGTAGACTTCTAGTATAGTTTCAAGTCAGGTGGCATGATGCCTCCAGCTTTGTTTTTTTGGCTTAGGATTGACTTGGCAATGCAGGCTCTTTTTTGGTTCCATATGAACTTTAAAGTAGTTTTTCCCAATTCTGTGAAGAAAGTCATTGGTAGCTTGATGGGGATGGCATTGAATCTGTAAATTACCTTGGGCAGTATGGCCATTTTCATGATATTGATTTTTCCTACCCATGAGCATGGAATGTTCTTCCATTTCTTTGTATCCTCTTTTATTTCATTGAGCAGTGGTTTGTAGTTCTCCTTGAAGAGGTCCTTCACATCCCTTGTAAGTTGGATTCCTAAATATTTTATTCTCTTTGAAGCAATTGTGAATGGGAGTTCACTCATGATTTGGCTTTCTGTTTGTCTGTTATTGGTGTATAAGAATGCTTGTGATTTTTGTACATTGATTTTGTATCCTGAGACTTTGCTGAAGTTGCCTATCAGCTTAAGGAGATTTTGGGCTGAGACGATGGGGTTTTCTAGATATACAATCTTGTCATCTGCAAACAGGGACAATTTGACTTCCTCTTTTCCTAATTGAATACCCTTTATTCCCTTCTCCTGCCTGATTGCCCTGGCCAGAACTTCAACACTATGTTGAATAGGAGTGGTGAGAGAGGGCATCCCTGTCTTGTGCCGGTTTTCAAAGGGAATGCTTCCAGTTTTTGCCCATTCAGTATGATATTGGCTGTGGGTTTGTCATAGATAGCTCTTATTATTTTGAGATACGTCCCATCAATACCTAATTTATTGAAAGTTTTTAGCACGATGGGTTGTTGAATTTTGTCAAAAGCCTTTTCTGCATCTATTGAGATAATCGTATGGTTTTTGTCATTGGTTCTGTTTATATGCTGGATTACATTTATTGATTTGCGTATGTTGAACCAGCCTTGCATCCCAGGGATGAAGCCCACTTGATCATGGTGGATAAGCTTTTTGATGTGCTGCTGGATTTGGTTTGCCAGTATTTTACTAAGGATTTTTGCATCGATGTTTATCAGGGATATTGGTCTAAAATTCTCTTTTTTTGTTGTATCTCTGCCAGGCTTTGGTATCAGCATGATGTTGGCCTCATAAAATGAGTTAGGGAGGATTCCCTCTTTTTCTGTTGATTGGAATAATTTCAGAAGGAATGGTACCAGCTCCTTCTTGTACCTCTGGTAGAATTCGGCTGTGAATCCATCTGGTCCTGGACTTTTTTTGGTTGGTAAGCTATTAATTATTGCCTCAATTTCAGAGCCTGTTATTGGTCTATTCAGAGATTCAACTTCTTCCTGGTTTAGTCTTGGGAGGGTGTATGTGTCGAGGAATTTATCCATTTCTTCTAGATTTTCTAGTTTATTTGCGTAGAGGTGTTTATAGTATTCTCTAATGGTAGTTTGTATTTCTGTGGGATCGGTGGCGACATCCCCTTTGTCTTTTTTTTATTGCGTCTATTTGATTCTTCTCTCTTTTCTTCTTTATTAGTCTTTCTAGCGGTCTATCAATTTTGTTGATCTTTTCAAAAAACCAGCTCCTGGATCCATTGATTTTTTTAAGGTTTTTTTTTGTGTCTCTATTTCCTTCAATTCTGCTCTGATCTTAGTTATTTCTTGCCTTCTGCTAGCTTTTGAATGTGTTTGCTCTTGCTTCTCTGGTTCTTTTAATTGTGATGTTAGGGTGTCAATTTTAGATCTTTCCTGCTTTCTCTTGTGGGCATTTAGTGCTATAAATTTCCCTCTACACACTGCATTGAATGTGTCTTAAAGGGACTATCAACCAATAATTCTATATCCACCAAAAGTATCTTTCAAAAATGAAAGAGAAATTAAGATATTACCAAAAAATAATAAGTGACTGATTACATTGGTAGCAAACCTACTCTACAAAGAAATATTAAAGGTAGTCATTTGGGCTAAAATAAAAGGACACCAATAAGTAACTTTAATCCACATCAAAAAATAAAAGCCTCATAAAGGGAAAGTAACTTATAGGCATATATATATATCTAGGGAACTATAAATGTGTTTTTATTTGTAAATTTTTTATTGAAAAGAACACTGCATAAAGCAATAATAATCAATCTATGTTCATAGGTATATAATTTGTAAAGATGTAATTTGTATGACAATGTAACACAAAGGAGGGGAGAGATAACATAGCTATATAGAAACAAAATTCTATATACTATTGAAATTTAATTGATATTAATCTGAACTAGATTGGTAAAAGATGTTCACTTTAATAATCAGAGAAACCACCAAGAAAATAACTAAAAAAGGTAAAAAAAATTGAGAAGTCAATTAAAATGGTACCCAAGAAAATATGTGTTTAACACAAAAGAGAACAATGAGGAAATAAAATAATAAGACATAGAAAACAAAGCAAATTGTCAATATAAATCTACCTTATCAGCAACTATGTTAAATATGAATGAATTACACACTCCAATTAAAAAGCAGAAGTTGGCAGAATGGATTTTTAGAAATGATCCAACTCTAGGCTGTCTACCAAGGGAAACTTTAGATTCAAAGACACACATAAGTTGAAAGTAAAAAGATGGAAAAAGATATACTATGTAGATAGTAACCAAAAGAGCTAGAATGCCTACATTAATATCAAGCAAAATATACTATAAAACAAGCACAAAAGTTACTAAAAATGAAAAGTTAAGGAGGGGAATTTTATAATAGTAAAAGGGTCAATCCATTAGGAAAACATAATAATCATAAACATATATGCACCTAATAATAGAAACCCAAAATAAATGGAGCAAAAAGAGACACAAATGAAAAGTTAGACAATTTGACAATAATAGCTGAAGACTTTAATACCACAATTTTCAATAAATGATAAAACAATGAAATAGTATCAACATGAGAAAAGAAGACTTGAATAATGTTATAAACCAACAGTACTTAACAGAACACTCCATCTAACAACAGCAGAATACACATTATTTTCAAGTGCATATGAAACATTCTCCAGGATAGACTATATTTTAGGCCATAAAACAAGTCTTAATGAATTTGAAAGAGTTAAAATCATATAAAGTATGTTTTCCAGCTACAATGAAATGAAATTAGAAAGCAGTGGCAGAAGAAAATTTGGGAAATTCACAAATATGTGGAAATTAAACATTTAAAAAAACAATGAATCAAAGAAGAAATCACAAAGGACATTAAAAAATACTCTGAAATGAATAAAAATGAAAATGCAACATACCAAAACTTATGGGATACAATAAAAGTTGTGCTTAGAGGGAAAATAATAGCTGAAATACTTATATATTTTAAGAAGATCTCAAATCAGTAACCCAGACTTCCACCTTAAGAAGCTAGAAAAAGGAGAGCATACTAAAACCAATACAAGCTGAAGAAAGGAAATTATTAGAGTGGAAATAAATAGAATAGAAAAACAATGGAGAAAATAAACTAAAAGTTGGTGCTTTGAAAAGATCAATAAAATTGGCAAAGCTTTAGCTAGGCTGATGATGAAAAAAGAGGACTCAAATTACTAAAATTAAAAAAAAGGAGGAAAAAGTATGACCTATTTCACAGGTCTTAAGGGAATACTATAAACAATTTTAAGCCAACAAATTAGAAAACCTAGATGAAATGGAAAAAAAAAACCCTAGATTAAATGGAAAACACAAACTACCAAAATTGACTAAGGAGAAATAGAAAATGTGAATAGACCTGTAATTGCCAAAACTGACTAAGGAGAAATACTAGGTTGGTGCAAGAGTAGTTGTGGTTTTGCCATCACTTTCAATGGCAAAAAACACAATTACTTTTACACCAACCTAACAAAAAACCTGAATAGACCTGTAATAAGAGATCGAACCAGTAATCAAAAACTTTCCACAAAGAAAAGCCCAGAACCAGATGGCTTCACTGGTCAATTCTACCAAATGTTTAAAGAAGAATTAACACCAGTACTTAATATACTCATTCAAAAAATAGAGGAGCAGGGACCACTTTTCAACTCTATTCTATAGAGGCCAGTATTAACATGATGACAAAACCAGACAGTGATAACACAAGGGAAAAATACATACCAATTTCTCTTATGGATATAGATGCAAACATTCTCAACAAAATTTTAGCAAACTGACTCTAGTATCACATAAAAATGATTACATACCATGGCCAAGTAGGATTTATCTCAGGAATGCAAGGTTGGTTCAGCATGTTAAAATCAAACAATGAGCCAGTTGCAGTTGTTCATATCTGTAATCCCAGCATTTTGGAAGGCCAAGGTGGAAGGAATGCTTGAGGCCAGGAGTTCAAGACCAGGATGATCAACATAACAAGACCCCATCTCTACAAATTTTTTTTAATTAGCTGAATATGGTGGCTTGCACCTGTAATCCCAGCTACTCAGGAGGCCAAGGCATGAAGATTGCTTGAGCCCAGGAGCTCGAGGCTGCAGTGAGCTATGATGGTGTCACTGCACTCCAGGGGCCTGTGTGACCTTGTCTCAAGAAAAAAAGATTTAAAAAGGGATTTGAGGCCGGGCGCGGTGGCTCACGCTTGTAATCCCAGCACTTTGGGAGGCCGAGGTGGGCAGATCACGAGGTCAGGAGATCGAGACCATCCTGGCTAACACGGTGAAACCCCGTCTCTACTAAAAATACAAAAAAAATAGCCGGGCGTGATGGTGGGCGCCTGTAGTCCCAGCTACTCGGGAGGCTGAGGCAGGAGAATGGCGTGAACCCGGGAGGCGGAGCTTGCAGTGAGCCGAGATTGCGCCACTGCACTCCCGCCTGGTCCACAGAGCGAGACTCCGTCTCAAAAAAAAAAAAAAAAAGGGATTTGAATATACCTAGTCCTAAAGTTAAAAATGTTAAATTCATACTATTTTGAATAGTCTATTTTAAAAATGAAAGAGTATTTTTAAAACTTCACCATGACTTGAGGATGGTTTTGTTCTTACTTTGAAAGGGGAGAATAGAGGAAAATTAAACATTAATTTTTGAGAGAAAGAGATAAATTTGACTATTATTTCTTTAAATCATATTTCCAATAGCACTATTTCAAAATGTTAAGCTCTCAATAATAAATGGTTACTATCAATGGTTTGTGGAATTTATTAGAAATTCTTATAAAAGGAATGATCTCCTGGAATGTTCTATTAAATGGGTACAATAGATACATCAGCTGACCATTTGAATGAAATAGCTGTAAAGCAAACAATAGTGCTCAGTGGTGAAAGCAAAGTAAATTTTACATTAGCTAACTTTCCAAACTTAAACCTATAAGATATTTTTAAAGTCACACTCACTGAAATGTACATGTAGGAAGGGGATACTTGAATAATTAGAGTTTGACTTGAGAAATTTGTGATGGAATCTAAGATAATTTCTAATAATTTTTTCTAGAATAAAAATAGCATTTATAAGTTTAATATATCAAAATACTCAAATATGTGATATATAACTTAGAATATATCTTTACAATCAGAAAGTGTGGGCTTTTCAACTTTGTTCCTCTTTTCCCAAGATTGTATTCTGGGTACCTCGCATTTTCATGTGAATTTTACGGTCACTTTACCAATTTCTGCAAAAAAGCCAACTGAAATTTTGATAGGGATTGCACTAAATCTGTAGAGCAATTTGGAGCATACCAATATTTTAACAATCTTAAGTCTTCCAATCCATGAACACTTTTCATTTACTTAGATCTTCTTTAATTTCTTTCAATGATGTTTTGTAGTGCTCAGTGTTCAGTTCTCCCACTTCTTTTGTTAAATTTATTCCTAAGCATTTTATTCCTTTTGATGATATCTATTATAAATTCCATTGCTTTCTTGATTTCATTTTTGATTTGTTCAATGCTACTGTATAGAAATACAATTGATTTCTGTATAGTGATCTTGTATTCTGCAAGCTTGCTGAACTCATTTATTTATTTTAGTAGTTTTTGGTTTTATTTTTTTGAGAAAGAGTCTCACTCTGTCACCCAGGCTGGAGTGCAGTGGCACAGTCATGGCTCACTGAAGCCTCAATCTCCCAGGCTCAAGCAATCCTCCCACCTCAGCCTCCCAAGTAGCTGGGACTACAGGTGCATGCCACCACCTCTGGATAATTTTTTTTTTTTTTTTGTAGAGACAGGATCTTGCTATGTTGCTCAGGCTGGTCTCAAACTCCTGACCTCAAGTGATCCTCCTGCTTGGCCTCCAAAAGTGCTGGGATTACAGGCATGAGCTGCCATGCCCAGCCTCAAATTTCTTTAAAATGATTTTTATCTTTCTTCAACGATAAGGTTCTTGCCTATATTTTACCAGAGAGCAACTAGTTTCCTGCGTATCCCTCTATTTTATCTTTCTTTGTATATTTAAAATGAAAAAAATTAAATATCATGCTTCAGATCTGGCAACCAATTATGTAAATAGTCATATGAATCCTTCAGAATGGATAACACAGCTTTTCTGACTGGTGTGAAATAGTTTTCAGGTGCTCATTCTTTACTTCATTAGCTTATCTTATATCATTAGCTTATCCTCCATTCAGGTATAACAGATCTTTTTTTTCTGATAAATATGGCAGTTTAGGGAAATAAACTATGGCATAATATGCTAGGCCATTCTTCTAGGCCACGCTTCTTGATTGTAACCTTAAACCCTTTATCAGAACCTAAACAACTTTTCAAAAGATCTATACATATTTTTATCCAATGTTTAAGGCTATGAGTAATTCATTATGTCACTCTTCATTTTTTTCACCTGATAATGATCTCGACAAAAATGTTGAGTATTAGTTTTCCTTCCAATGTGTAAGTTGTATAAACATCTCTCTTTACTGGTAACTAACTATCTCTAAAGGGAGACAAGTAATTTTTAAGTTTCTAATAATAATTGAAAATTTGAATATAAATATATTTCACCTATGATAACCATGTACCCAAGGCAAGGCTGAAGTTGGGATCTAAATTATCTGAAAAGTTGTTCACCTCTCCAGCTCTGCTTAGGTATAGAAAAGAATGGTTTCTGGAGTCACATAGTAACAGTTTAAATCCTGGCTCTGCCGTTTCACATGCTGTATGACTTTGGACAGATTATTTAAACTCTGTGTGCCACAATTCTTCGTCTTTAAAATGTGGCTAATAAGACTGCCCACCTCATAGGGTTGTTGGGGTGATAAAATGAGTCAACATACGCAAAATGCTTAGAAAAATATCTGGTGTATAGTGGATATATATGTTAATGTTATTGAGATTTCATTTACTTTTGGATTGCAAAAGGAACTGAAAAGACCCAATTCTTACTCTATGTCAACATGTAGGAATAAGTAAACAAAATATGGTTTGAATTTTGTCCTGAATGCATTAACTTGAATCTAACTAAAACCTGGTTACTATATTAGAAACAATTTTCTCTTTGATTTGCCCAGGAGATTTGTTTTCCAGTTATGTCTAAAATAATACTCTTTCTTTTTATTCTTTTCAGTATATATTTTTATTGTTTTTCATTTAATAGTGATGCATAGTGTATCTTTTCTGATTTACTTTAAATGTGAAAGAAAATTCTAAGATGTTAATATTATTATTACTGCCATTGATATATCCCTTATAGGAATTAATTAATAGAAATAGAATCAAAGTAAATTTAGTTATATAATGCTTAGCATGTATTATATTCTCAAAATTCTGTATTCAGTTTCAGACATGTTCAAGGCTGAATATATGATCTGACAATAATCTGCTTATATAGATAAAAACATCATTTGAGTGGATTAATTTATTAATTCAACTGGTATTTACTAAATAAAATCCATGTATCTTTCACAATTTTTACTAATACTTTCTATCACTATCAGAATCTGAAATCTCAGATTTCATGCTTTAAAAAGAATTAATTTAACATGAATTATAAATTATAATTACTTATATGAATTGGATAACTAAATAAAATAACAAGATATTTAAGGGGAGAAAATCTTATATGTGGCAAGATAAGTGGTGCTCCATTCAGTGTATTAATTGCAACCAATAAATTGGTTAACTGTGTCTCAGTGGTACCATTCTTTCTTATTGTTTGAGAGTAATCACAGTAGCTACACACTGTGGTGGGATCCATTTTATACACAAGTCTCTTTACTTCACCATATCTGAGTAGAGACAGCCTAAGTCACCCTTTGGTCACAGAATAAAATATTTTAAATCAGTGCTTCTTGTTTTCCCCAAAATTAGCTGGTCAAGGAATATGATATCTGGGATACAAAAGGTGAGTGTGGTAACAGGCAAACTCATTGTAAAATATAGATTACATCTATCTTGCTAAATAAGCTCAGCTTAAAGCCTTTATCTTCACAAAATTCTGTGACTGTTACTCACTTTTGTCTTGACATTATCCTCATAATAGTCACATAGAATAATCAAGTCCTGTTACCCTCTGAGCTTCAGTTTTAGTTTCCTTATCTTTTATTTCCTCTTTAGTTCTAAGAATCTGTGATTCTAATACTATTTGCCTTACTCCTAGGTTCAATGTAGGTTCACACTATAAATTACTTGATACAAAACAAGATACCTGTCTATTCACCTGTATTACTATTTGCACATTAAAGTAGGAAAATAGAACCTTTCGTTTCAAAGGTAGTCGCGCTTTAGACCATGTATAGAGAACATCTTAAACTTTTGCATCATCACAAAGTCCTCACATTCTTAGAAAAGAACATTTATAACTACTAAGAATTGAATTGAAAGTGTATAAAAATTTGTCTCCTGTGGCTGGATTATGTAAAGAAGAAATGGAGTTCTTTGAAGTTTCACTGATAAGCGTGTGGGGAGTCTGAGATATCTTCTTGATTTGTGCTCATGATTATTCTGGTTCGTGCACTGTAATTAAATAACCTTTTAAATTATGCAGTTTAATGTAACAAAGTTTGTAAAAATTCTATGCTCTTAAAAATGGCTTTTATTTTAAAACTTCCCAAATACGTTGTCTTGAAGTTGTTAATTTCTCAATCAAGACGCAGGGTGGCGCTGCAGGCTAAGTTGTGAATAATGAGCCCTAAAAAGCTCGCGCGTATTCTTCTGTGTCGCTAGACGCAATCAAAAACACACGGAAGAAGCGTTACAAGCAGTGCAGGTTTACCAACGGCTTGGGGCAGCGATATACTAAACAAATTTAATATTAAAAGCAACTGTGTGACGATTCCTCCAAGCAAGAAATTGGAATTGAATGTCTCAAGTCTCGTTGCGGTTGCTGAGGGGATTGGATATAGGGACCTGGACTCCAACATGAAGAAGCTAGGGAGAATTCATCCAAACAGGCAAGTGTTGGCCTTTATTTTGATGGTGTTCTTGTCTCAGGTTCGCCTCGAGCCTATT
Source organism: Homo sapiens (assembly GCF_000001405.40). NCBI lineage: Eukaryota > Metazoa > Chordata > Mammalia > Primates > Hominidae > Homo > Homo sapiens. The sequence continues at coordinate 357,265 of NW_025791778.1, forward strand.
CGTTATTCTGTGTTGGAGGAAACAGAGAGCGGCTCCTTTGTAGCCCATCTGGCCAAGGATCTGGGCCTGGGAATTGGGGAACTGGCCTCCCGGTCAGCCCGGGTGCTGTCTGACGATGACAAGCAGCGTTTGCAGCTGGATCGTCAGACTGGAGATTTGCTTCTGAGGGAGAAACTAGACCGGGAAGAGCTCTGTGGTCCTATTGAACCGTGTGTACTGCATTTCCAAGTGTTCCTGGAAATGCCGGTGCAATTTTTTCAAGGAGAATTATTGATCCAGGACATAAATGATCACTCTCCAATATTCCCTGAAAGGGAAGTGCTCTTGAAAATACTAGAAAATAGCCAGCCGGGTACTCTATTTCCGTTGCTAATAGCTGAGGATTTGGATGTGGGCAGCAATGGTCTTCAAAAATACACAATCAGCCCCAATTCTCATTTTCACATTCTCACTCGAAATCATAGTGAGGGCAAGAAATACCCAGATTTGGTGCAGGACAAACCACTGGATCGAGAGGAGCAGCCTGAGTTCAGCTTAACCCTCGTGGCGCTGGATGGTGGGTCACCACCTAGGTCTGGCACGGTCATGGTTCGAATCCTGATCATGGACATCAATGACAATGCTCCTGAGTTTGTGCACACTCCATATGGGGTGCAGGTCCTGGAAAACAGCCCCCTAGACTCTCCAATTGTTAGGGTCTTAGCTAGAGATATAGATGCTGGAAACTTCGGGAGTGTTTCTTATGGCTTATTCCAAGCATCAGATGAAATTAAACAAACTTTCTCAATAAATGAAGTCACGGGAGAAATACTGTTGAAAAAAAAATTGGATTTCGAAAAAATTAAATCTTACCATGTAGAAATTGAGGCCACAGATGGAGGAGGCCTTTCTGGAAAAGGCACTGTAGTCATAGAGGTGGTGGATGTGAATGACAATCCCCCAGAACTTATCATATCTTCACTCACCAGCTCCATCCCAGAAAATGCTCCTGAGACGGTAGTCTCTATCTTCCGAATTCGAGATAGAGATTCCGGAGAAAATGGAAAGATGATTTGCTCTATTCCAGATAATCTACCGTTTATTCTAAAACCAACTTTGAAGAATTTTTACACCCTGGTAACAGAGAGACCACTGGACCGAGAGACCAGCGCTGAGTACAACATCACCATCGCCGTCACTGACTTGGGGACACCCAGGCTGAAAACCCAGCAGAACATAACCGTGCAGGTCTCCGACGTCAATGACAACGCCCCCGCCTTCACCCAAACCTCCTACACCCTGTTCGTCCGCGAGAACAACAGCCCCGCCCTGCACATCGGCAGTGTCAGCGCCACAGACAGAGACTCGGGCACCAACGCCCAGGTCACCTACTCGCTGCTGCCGCCCCAGGACCCGCACCTGCCCCTCGCCTCCCTGGTCTCCATCAACGCAGACAACGGCCACCTGTTCGCCCTCAGGTCGCTGGACTACGAGGCCCTGCAGGCGTTCGAGTTCCGCGTGGGCGCCTCAGACCGCGGTTCTCCGGCTTTGAGCAGCGAGGCGCTGGTGCGCGTGCTGGTGCTGGACACCAACGACAACTCGCCCTTCGTGCTGTACCCGCTGCAGAATGGCTCCGCGCCCTGCACCGAGCTGGTGCCCCGGGCGGCCGAGCCGGGCTACCTGGTGACCAAGGTGGTGGCGGTGGACGGCGACTCGGGCCAGAACGCCTGGCTGTCGTACCAGCTGCTCAAGGCCACGGAGCCTGGGCTGTTCGGCGTGTGGGCGCACAATGGCGAGGTGCGCACCGCCAGGCTGCTGAGCGAGCGCGACGCAGCCAAGCACAGGCTCGTGGTGCTTGTCAAGGACAATGGCGAGCCTCCGCGCTCGGCCACCGCCACGCTGCACGTGCTCCTGGTGGATGGCTTCTCCCAGCCCTACCTGCCTCTCCCTGAGGCGGCCCCGGCCCAGGCCCAGGCCGACTCTCTCACCGTCTACCTGGTGGTGGCGTTGGCCTCGGTGTCGTCGCTCTTCCTCTTCTCGGTGCTCCTGTTCGTGGCGGTGCGGCTGTGCAGGAGGAGCAGGGCGGCCTCGGTGGGTCGCTGCTCGGTGCCCGAGGGCCCCTTTCCAGGGCATCTGGTGGACGTAAGCGGCACCGGGACCCTGTCCCAGAGCTACCAGTACGAGGTGTGTCTGACAGGAGACTCTGGGACTGGTGAGTTCAAGTTCCTGAAGCCAATATTTCCTAATCTCTTGGTTCAGGACACCGGGAGGGAAGTTAAGGAAAACCCCAAGTTCAGAAATAGCTTGGTATTCAGTTAAGTATTGTATTTAGTTCAGTGAACCGCCCGTTAGTTTTGTCAAACTTCCCACTGCAATGCCTTTATTTAAAAAAATTGTCTACTTATCTAAATATTCATACCACAATTTCAAACCTACTCATGTCCCTGATAAAGCTAAATTTGTCCCTTTTTTATTGTTATTAATTGCACTTAACATTTTTAGTTATACTGGATATTGAGTATGGATTTTCTCTATATTTGATCTATTGGTGATTAATCTTTTTGTAATCATAAATTACTCAATTAGGATAAAAATAAATTATGTTTTAATGAAATTCTTAAATTAACATCTTTTTAATGGAACATTTAAGTGAATATATGAATATTGAATTTCTAAATATTTGTTGTGCCTGTCTTTACCATGTAACTTAATGTTTGCAAGGCCAGAGTGTTTGAAAGTTTTGTATTTAACTTTATAATTACCTTGTCCTTTCTGGTTGACTATACTAGGCTAAGCCCTCTTAATAGCCATGAGTGTAAAATTTAGTTTACTCATTTTTCACAAATTGTATATAAACATGCACTTCACTACATTGGTAATACACTAAAATTGTGGTCCTTTTCCTCTTGTGACCACCACATGTCTAGTGATTATTTTGTTTATTTGGTTGCTACTTACCTAGCACATTGTAATGTTCCATGAATGCTAATATTAAATTTTGTAAAAATAACTTATTTATAAATAATTTTTAAAGAGAAAAATCTCATATAATTTGTCATAACCTTTCAATAAATAAAACTGTTAAATCATGGCCTGATATCATCTTAAAAAAAAATCTCAGAATCTGAAATAAGCCCTAAATTTCTCCCCAAAATCAAGACTCTTGAGAGCATCATAGGTCTCCTTGTGCTACCTTTTACTCCCTATAAATAGAAATCCAAGTATACTTTAATATGTGTATATTTTTTGGTTTTCCTACAGCTTCTCCCCATCTTTCAAAAGAATCACGAAATTTCTTCTGCACCTTGGCTATTCTGTTTAAATCTGATAATCAGTTGATCTCAGGTTTTTCACTGTACATTACTTTGCAGATATGGACAGCCTTTACAAAAATAATTTTTAAATGCTTAATTATTTTAATTTGTTCTTTAAGGTAACCTTCAGTTATTTTGAATTAATTTAACTTCTCAATTATGCCAAAGTTGCACTTGCATGAAATAAATATTATTTTGTCCTTGTATAGACTGGAACAGTAATAAATTTATCTGAATTAAAATTGTTTTATGCTGTGATCAGTAAGCCCAGTAAGCTAGGTAAAGTTGTATGGATATAACTATAGTACACCTCTATTTTACTTTTGGCAGAATATGAGCAACTGAAGAACTTGCTTTATAATCTAACATTTATTTTTAAATCTCAAGTATCATCCTACTGGAGTTAAATTACTTGCACTTTTCCTTGAATTACTCTTGTTTTCTAAACGTGTAATGAAATAAAAAGGAAAATTGACTGTTATTCTTGAAACATATTTTTTAGCATTTATTCAATTTAAAAATCAAAGTGAAGAAGATATAAAGTGAGAACAGAATATAACATACAAATATGTAAGACATAAATATGGTAGTCAACTTTAATGTCTTCTTCCATTTATTATTAGCTACTTAAATGAAATAGCTTTGAGGCCGGGTGTGGTGGCTCATGCCTATAATCCCAGCGCTTTGGGAGGCAGGCAGATCACCTGAGGCCAGGAATTCAAGACCAGCCTGGGCAAAATGGCAAAATCCCGTCTCTAAAAAAAACACAAAAATTAGCTGGGTGTGGTGGTGCACACCTGTAATCCCAGCTACAGGAGTGGCTAAAGCAGGAGAATTGCTTGAACCCGGGAGGTGAAGGTTGTGGTGAGCCGCACCTCCAGCCACAGAGATCACACCACTGCACTCCAGCCTGGGTGACAGAGTGAGACTCTGTCTCAAAAAAATTTTAAAAAAAAGAAATAGCTTTTATTTATGATGACAAGTAAGAAATCTGGTTGAAGTTTTCACCAACTATATACTGACATGATGAAAGTCCAAAATCATTTTTTTTGTTGTTTATGCAGGGTAAGTCCAATTCGTATAATCACCCAAATGAGACCGTTCAAATAAACACCCCAAACCGACATCATCCTTGGAGGTATTCATAAAGCATGACTCATTCCTTACCAGCTAGGTGTAGTATAGATCAACATTTAAAAATTCAATTATTAGAATTTAGTTGTAAACACGATCCAAATAACTTTCACAACATGCATACCTTATGAAAATAGGCCAGTTCTATTGTCACAGAACAAAATTAGAGAATGGAGGCCAAGAATCTTGATAATAACACCCATCCCAACAGGTATTTTCTCAAATTAATCTATTATATATGCATCTTTTACAGTTCCCCTGCTACTGTTATTTTTAGGCACAGCATATAGTGAATTTAACACACACTGTTTTGGAGACAGAAATTCTGAAGGCAACGTAGCCCATATCAATTTAGAATCCCCTCTCCTTGGCTGGGTGTGGTGGCTCATGCCTGTAATCCCAGCACTTTGGGAGGCCAAGTGGGGAGGATCGCTTGAGGCCAGGAGTTTGAGACCAGCCTGGGCAATATAGTGAGATCCCTGTTTCAACAACCACAACAAAAAGTTAGCTGGTCATGGTAGCACACATCTGTAGTCCCAGCTACTTGGGAGGCTGAGGCAGGAAAATTGCCTGAGCCTAAGAGTTTGAGGCTGCAGTGAGCTATGATCAGGCCACTGCACTCCAGCCTGGGAGACCCAGCAAGACCCTGTCTCAAAACAAAACAAAACAGAACAGAACAAAATGATCCCCTCTTCTTTTACTATCAAAAGTTACAAAATATATTTTAAATAGTCTAAGGTTAAAACTATGCATATATTTGGTGAAATTCTGCTTCCAGAGTAGATGGATTATCTAGCCGCAGAAAGCAACTCTAAAAATTGGTTAAAATGTAAAATTATCTGTTTTGAAGTAACTGAAAACAGATAATATAATAAGATCTGAATGGGCCAAGATTCCTGAGAAGGAAAATTCTTGGAGGTGAAAACTGACTCCTGACAGGAGTTTTACCCTGAGGAAATATGCTAAGTCTGAGAACAAACAAAAAGCTTTTGTCAGAGACAGAGTAACTTCAATAGCTGTTGGGGTTGACTGGAAGATTCAAGTTCATGGCCAAATTTTCCCCTCAGGACACTTGTCAAACTCAGGGAAGCCCAGAGAAAAAGACTAAAATCCTAACTGGAAAATTTCTGAAAAGGAAAGTGAAGTTTTAATAGTCTTGCTATTGAAACATTAGAGTTTAGGATCTGCCATGGGAAGGGGCTGTGGAGAATATACCAAGTTCTCAGCTGAAAATTCTGGAGAGCCAGGTGCTTATCAGGACTGCAAAGAACCTTGACAAAGCCCAGTGCCTGTTTCAGTTGAGATGATTTGTTTAGACAGAACTCTATCAAGTTAACAGTGGAAAAGGTGAACTCTTGTTGGAGGAAGATAATATCTTAACCTTGGATAGCTTTTTATGTAAATATTCAACATTCAATAAAAAATTCCTAAGTACACACACCAAAAACTGGATACATGAATAAAACCGAGAGAAAAAAAAGACAATAAAAATTACCCATAAATGATTCAGATATTAAAATTAACTGAATGATATTAAAATAAGTAAGACTAATATGTTAAAAATAAAGAACAATAGAGAAAATAAGGAGATAATTTCACTGGAGAATTGAACTTTAAAAGTGAAAGTTAATTCTAGAACTGAAAAATTATATTATCTGAAATTAAAACTATTTAAATGGTTTAATGTCATAGTCATAAAATGATACAGGATTAGTGGATGCAAGACAATTCAATATTAACATCCAAATATAAGCACAGAGAATAAAATAATAAAATATACAGAAAAGAACATTAGTGATGTGTGGAATGTAATTTTTAAAAACTCTAACATACTGAAAGAGAGAACAAGCATGAGGCAATATTTGAAGAGATAATGATAAAGAATTTTCCAAAACTGGTGAAAATCCTTAATCCTTCAAGATATTCAAGAAATAAATAATAACAGGCTAAATAAAAACAAAGCCTAATTAGGCATATCATAGGAAAGCATCTCAAGACCAAAGTCAAAGAGATAATTTAAGAACCAACCATGTAAGAAATAAAACATTCCTGTTAAAGGAGCATCAGTAAAATGGAGAGCTGACTTTTCAACATAAATCAGGAAATCAAAAGACAAAGGAATGACATCTTTAAAGTCCTGAAAGAAAATTACTACCAGGTTAGAATTCTATTGCCAGCAAACATATCCTTCAAAAATGAATGCAGTTTTCAGACAAAAATGAAGGGAATTAACGACAGTCACATCTGCACTAAAAGAAATACTTTTTTTTTTTTTTTCGAGACAGAGTCTCACTCTGTTGTCTAGGCTGGAGTGCAGTGGCACAATCTCGGCTCACTGCAATCTCCACCTCCTGGGTCCAAGCTATTCTCCCCATCTCAGCCTCCTGAGTAGAGGGGATTACAGACATGTGCCGCCACGCCTGGCTAATTTTTGTATTTTTAGTAGAGACAGGGTTTCACCATGTTAGCCAGGCTGGTCTCGAACTCCTGACCTCAAGGGATCCACCCGCCTTGGCCTCTGAAGGTGTTGGGATTACAGGCATGAGCTACTGCATCTGGCCAAGAAATGCTTTTAATGAAATGCATTAGGCAGAAGGAAAACAATCCAAAAGAAATCACAGAATTGCAGGAATAAATGAAGAGCAATAAGAAAGGTCAATGTACATGAATGTTGATTGAATATTGATTATACAAGGCAATAATATTAATACTAGTTTCTTAAAGGATTTAAATTATATGTAAAATTTAAATTTATAACAACAATAATGTAAAAGGCAAAGGTATAAATAGAGTTAAAAAGTGTTAAGGCTGTAAGCATTATCATGGAAGTAGTAAAATTACTAACGTGTGTTAGATTCTTGTATATTGAAGATGCATGCTGTAATTTATTGGATAATCCTCAAAGTAATAAAACACTAATTGAAGGAAGAAAAATTAAAAATATCTGAATAATCAAAAAGAAAAATTAAACTTTAGTGACAAATAGAAAAGTAATTAGATGGTAAGCATAAATGGAAATATATCAGATATTGTATTAATTTTATTTGGATTAAATAATCCAATTAAACAACAAAAATTGTCAGACTAGATTAAAGAAAAACTCAACTCTATGCTATCAAATTGTGTGTGTGTGAACACAGAAAGAGTGAAGGTTTAAAAGAATTGGATAAGGTATATAGTAATATAAACACTAGCCAAAATAAATCTAGGTAGCTGTATTTACATAAGACAAAAGAGACTTTAAGGAAAGATACATTACTAGAGATAAAGAGAAGTTTTTTTATAATCATAAAGAAGTAAATATACCAGAAATATGTTAGTTTTAAGACTGAATACATCCCAATTAGATAACTACAAAATATATAAAGTTGATAGAATACAAATACAAAGTAGACAAACCCAATTACACAGGGAGATTGAATACAACTCTCTCAATTCCTGTTAGAATAAGAAGAAAAAACACACACATACAAAAAATGTTGAAGATCCGAACCACACGAACATCATATTCAAATAAATTGACATGCATAGCACACTGGAGCATACACATTCTTCTTATATGCATGTGGGATATATAAAAATTGTTCATGTTCTTTGTCATGAATGAAGTCTCAAATATTTAAAAAAGAATTGAGGCCAGGCACAGTGGCTAACACCTGTAATCCCAGCAGTTCAGGAGGCAGAGACGGGCAGATCACAAGGTCAGGAGTTCGAGACCAGCCTGGCCAATATGGTGAAACCCCGTCTCTACTAAAAATACAAAAATTAGCAGGGTATGGTGGCAGGCACCTGTAATCCCAGCTACTCGGGAGGCTGAGGCAGGAAAATTGCTTGAAACCGTCAGGTGGAGGTTTCAGTGAGCTGAGATCGTGCCACTGCACTCCAGCCTGGGCGACAGAGCAAACTCCTTCTTGGGGGGGAAAAAAATTGAAACTACTTAGAGTATGTTCTTTGACCACAGTGGAATTAAGCCAGAAATAAAAATATAATAAATCTCCAAATATTTTAAAATCAAATTGCATAATCCATGAGTCAAAAAGAAATCACAACAGAAATTTCCAAATATTTTGAACGGGGAAAAATTAACACCTGGCGTATCAAAACAGTACTTAGAGGGAAATTTAAAATCTTAAATGCACATGTTAGAAAAGAAAGGCTAAAAATCAATAATCTAAGCTTTCATCTCAAGAAGCTAGAAAAAGAACAGCAAATCAAATGCAAATAAAGATGGAAGACAATTTTATACACACACACATAGGCAGAAACAAAATAAATGACAAATATACAACAGAGGAAATCAGTGAAGCAAAAAGTTGGTTTCTACAATGATTAAAATTTAAAACTCTTAGACTAATCAAGAAAAAAAGAGGGAAAACACCAACTGCCAATATCAGGATAAAAAAAACACAACTACCAACCTACAGACATTTAAAAAATAAAAAAGAAATATTATGAACAATTTTATGCCAATAAACTTGACAATTTATGTAAAACAGAAACCATCCTTTAAAAACACAATTTTCCGAAACTGAAACAGGACGAAATTAAGATCTGATTAGTCATATCTATTATATTAATTAAAGTTGTTCATTAAAAACCTTCCCACTCTAATTCACAGCAGTGAATTCTCCCAAATACTTATGTCAAAATTATCACTAATTTGTACAAACTCCTTCAGAGAGTAGAAAAATAGACATTTTCCAAATCATTTGGGTGCCAGCATAAATCTGAATAGGTTATAACATTCAAACCTGAATAGGATATTATAAGAAAAGAAAATTACTATTCTTTTTTATAAATATGTATGGAAAATTCATTTTTAAAAATATTAGCAAATAAAATTTTAAAATGTATAAAAGAAAAATAATAATTGGAAAATGGAGTTTATTTTAGGAATACAGAGGCAGTTTAATATTTGAAAATTGATCATTGTAATTTACCATATTAAAAGATAAAGAACAAAACATGATTATTTCAATGGATACAGAAAAAAGTCATGTGATAAAATTCAACACACAGTAGTGGTAAAATTATTAGCAAACTAAAATCAAAGGGAACTTTCAGAGTGACTTTAAAAACCTACAGGAAACATCATTAACAATAAATTTTCAAAAATTTTCCCCTGGAGATCAAGAATGAAACAAGGATACCTGTCTTTTCTTCTCCAATTTAGTATTCTATCACAGGTCCTAAACAGCGGAATAAAGCAAAGAAGGAATAAAAGGCACTATGATTCGAAGGGAAGAAATAAAAATGTCTTTTTAAGTGGACATACTTGTATACCTTGCAAGCCATGAAGAATCTACAGGCTACTGGAATTAATAAATGAAGTTAACAATGCCACTGGATACAAGGTCAACATACAAACATGAGTTCTATTTCTATTTAGCAACAAAAAAAGTGAAAAATTTAAACATTATGCACAATAATTTCAAAAATAGCAGCTATTTATAAACAAATCTAGTTGAATATGTATAAGACTTCTACATTGAAAACTAAAATATGAGAAAAATTAAAGAAGATCTAAATAATTACAGGAATATACAATGTTCACTAATTGGAAGACTCAATGTTGGGAATATGTCAGTTATCTCTTAGTCAATCTATAGATTCAATAAAATCTTAAACAAAATTCCAGCAGCTTTCTTTGTGAAAATTAATGAGCCGAGCATTAAGTTTATTTGAAAATACAAAAACAGTAATAACCAAAGGAACCCTGATGAAAAGGAACCAAACTAGAGATACCACACCAAAGTCACAATCCGCAGAATAAAGAGTTAATAAGCTGGACTTCATTAAAATTAAAACTTTCTGCTCTGCAAAAGATACTATGAAGAGAATGAAAAGACAAGACATAAACTAGGAGAAAATATTTGCAAAAGGCATATCTGATAAAGGACTGTTATTCAAAATATACAAAGAACGACTAAAACTCAGCAACAAGAACCCAATTTAAAAATAAGGCAAAGACCTTAAGAGACACCCACCAAAGAAGGTATACAGGTGGCAAATAAACATATGAAAAGATGCTCCATATCATATGTTAACAGGGAAATGCAAATTAAAATAACAGTGAAATATGACTACACACCTATTAGAATGACCAAACTTCAGGACACTGACAGTGCCAAATGCTGGTAATGAGAGCAAAAGGAGCTCTCATTCATTGCTGGTGGGAATGCAAAATGGTACAGACACTTTGGAAGACAGTTTGGCAGTTTGATACAAAACAAAATATACTCTTACCATGTTATCTAGCACTCATGTTCCTTAGTATTTGCCCAAAGGAGTTGAAAATTTATGTTCACACAAAAACTTGCACAGAGACGTTTATAGCAGTTCATTCATAATTGCCAAAACGTGGAAGCAACCAAGATGTCGTTTAGTAGGTGAATAGATAAACAAACTGCAGTTCATTCAACCCATAGAATACTATTCAGCATCAAAAAGAAATGACCTAACAACCCATGAAAAGACATTGAGGAAATCTAAATGGATATTACTAAGTGAAAGAAGCCAATCTGAAAAGACTACATACTGTGTGATTTCAACTACATGGTGCTCTAGAAAAAGCAAAACTGTGGAGACAGTAAAAAAATCCACTTGCATTGGGTTCTAGGGGAGGGAGGGAGGTATAAATAAGTGGAGCACAGGGGATTTTTAGAGCAGTGAAACTACTTTGTATGATATTATAAAGGTGAATACACATAATTTTAAATTTGTCCAAAGCCATAGAATATACAGCACCAAGAATGGGCCCTAATGTAAACTATGGACTCCAGGTTATAATGACGTGCCAATGTAGATTCATCAGCTGTAGCAAATGAACCACTCTGGTGGAGGATGTTGATAATGGGTGAGGCTGTGCTTGTGTGGGGACAGGGGCATATATGAAATCTCTGTACTTTACTCTCATTTTTGCTGTGAACCAAAAACCATTCTAAAAATTTAGTCTACTTTTAAAAAACTGGAGAACTTACTTCTCAGATAACAAAACTCATGATAAAGCTATAATAATTAACACAATGAGTTATTGTAGGATAAACAAGATTGAATAAAACATCTTCAGAGCTATGGTTACCTAATTTATAACAAAGATGACATTTCAAAAACAATGGAAAATGGATTGTCTTTTAAATAGATGGTGCAAAGGTTTAAAGCATTCAGATACTTACATTTTAAACCTTTTGACTCCAAACTCATTCACTTGAAAAGTTAATTTCAGGTTGATTATAGCTTTAAATATGAAAAATGGAATAATTAATCTTTCAAAATACATCATACAAGAATATTTTCATGACCTTGGAGTATGTGAACATTTAAATAGAACACAAAAAAATGCTAATCATACATGAAACTTATTGACAAATCTGACTAAAGGTAAGAAATTTTATTCATCAAAGACACATAATAGACTTGAAATAAAAACCATAGAGTGGGAAAAGATATTTGCAATACATATATCTTAAAAAGGACTTATGCCCAGAATATATGAGAAACTTCTGCAGATCAATAAGCAAACAGGCAAATGCCTCCCCCCAAAAAAGTAAAAAGGTTTGCATAAGCCCTTCACAAGATTGTATCCTAATGGCTGATAAACATGAAAATGTGCTCAAATTGTTTAATCATCAGGGAAAATGCTAACTAAAATTACAATATCATATCACCATACACTAACCAGAGTGGTTTAAAATGGAAAAGATAGCATCAAATGTTGACAAGAATGTGGAGCAACTGGAACTCTCATACTTTGCTGGTATTAGTACGACTACTTGAGAAAACTTTCTCATTATCTGCTAAAGCAAAATATATGTGCACATCTTAATGCATAGCAATCCAACTCCTTTGAATATATTCAACATAAACACATATATGTGGTCACCAAAAGACTAGTACAAGGATGTTTATACCAGTACTACCCCAAAGAGCTTAAACCTGGAAAACAATGTTCATCAACTGGAGAATGAATAAATAAATCATAGTATATTCATACAACAGAATGATATAAAGCAATGAGAATAAAACAAATAAGAACAAGATGCCACAGATCAATTTGCTGAACATAATATTGAGGAGAAGAAGCCAGACACACGAGAGTAACAATCTATAACTCCATTTGTATAAAGTTAAAAAAAAAAAAAGCAAAAAAAACCTATGACAACAGAAGTCAGGACAGTGCTTATCTTTTGGGGAGAGGGTGGTAACCAGACAATAGCAGGTGGGGACTTGGGTTTGGGTAGTATTTTTAATCTAGGTTCTACTTACAGGAGTGTGTTCACTTTGCGAAAATTCATTGAGTTATACACCTATGATTTGTGCCATTTTCTGGGTGTTATTGGTGTTTACTTCAAAGTGAAAGTAATTTTTCTTAAACTTTAAATTTCTATAGATATTCCTGATCACTTATTTAATATAATCAAATAAGAAACACCAAACAAAGTGTATTTGTGTACTCAAGGGTACTTTTATGGAGATTAATATATAATTTTAGTTTTTTTCTCAAAAGTATTTTCTCACTGAAAATTAACTCCACAACATTTATTTAGAACTTTCAGCAACTAAGAGCTGGAGATACCATCGGGAGAGCTTATGTGACAAAAGGGTATGGATACACGTCAGTTAGAATTTAGGATGAAATGGCAAATACTATATGCAATAGTAAATTAGGACGCCTGGTGGCGCTGCAGGCTAAGAGTGTGGATAGTGGGCTCTGCGGATAACTCAGACGCCATTAAGCTGGGGAATCCAAACTCTAAAAGAAGGACGCATTTTAGGTAAGATCTAGTGGCTAGATCTTCAGGGTGGGCTTCGTTCTTGTGGAAATCAGTCAAGAAAGATCGGATTCGCGGTTATTTATGCAAATCATCTGGGTGGATTGTGTACGGAGTTAAACTGCGCCTTCTGGACCGGGTCTGAACAATGGAGACTGCGCTAGCAAAAACGCCACAGAAAAGGCAAGTTATGTTTCTTGCTATATTGTTGCTTTTGTGGGAGGCTGGCTCTGAGGCAGTTAGGTATTCCATACCAGAAGAAACAGAAAGTGGCTATTCTGTGGCCAACCTGGCAAAAGACCTGGGTCTTGGGGTGGGGGAACTGGCCACTCGGGGCGCGCGAATGCATTACAAAGGAAACAAAGAGCTCTTGCAGCTTGATATAAAGACCGGCAATTTGCTTCTATATGAAAAACTAGACCGGGAGGTGATGTGCGGGGCGACAGAACCCTGTATATTGCATTTCCAGCTCTTACTAGAAAATCCAGTGCAGTTTTTTCAAACTGATCTGCAGCTCACAGATATAAATGACCATGCCCCAGAGTTCCCAGAGAAGGAAATGCTCCTAAAAATCCCAGAGAGCACCCAGCCAGGGACTGTGTTTCCCTTAAAAATAGCCCAGGACTTTGACATAGGTAGCAACACTGTTCAGAACTACACAATCAGCCCAAATTCACACTTTCATGTTGCTACGCATAATCGCGGAGATGGCAGAAAATACCCAGAGCTGGTGCTGGACAAAGCGCTGGACCGGGAGGAGCGGCCTGAGCTCAGCTTAACACTCACTGCACTGGACGGTGGGGCTCCGCCCAGGTCCGGGACCACCACAATTCGCATTGTCGTCTTGGATAATAATGACAACGCCCCCGAATTTTTACAATCATTCTATGAGGTACAGGTGCCCGAGAACAGCCCCCTTAACTCCTTAGTTGTCGTTGTCTCCGCTCGAGATTTAGATGCAGGAGCATATGGGAGTGTAGCCTATGCTCTATTCCAAGGCGATGAAGTTACTCAACCATTTGTAATAGACGAGAAAACAGCAGAAATTCGCCTGAAAAGGGCATTGGATTTCGAGGCAACTCCATATTATAACGTGGAAATTGTAGCCACAGATGGTGGGGGCCTTTCAGGAAAATGCACTGTGGCTATAGAAGTGGTGGATGTGAATGACAACGCCCCTGAACTCACCATGTCTACGCTCTCCAGCCCTACCCCAGAAAATGCCCCGGAAACTGTAGTTGCCGTTTTCAGTGTTTCTGATCCAGACTCCGGGGACAACGGTAGGATGATTTGCTCCATCCAGAATGATCTCCCCTTTCTTTTGAAGCCCACATTAAAAAACTTTTACACCCTAGTGACACAGAGAACACTGGACAGAGAGAGCCAAGCCGAGTACAACATCACCATCACTGTCACCGACATGGGGACACCCAGGCTGAAAACCGAGCACAACATAACGGTCCTGGTCTCCGACGTCAATGACAACGCCCCCGCCTTCACCCAAACCTCCTACACCCTGTTCGTCCGAGAGAACAACAGCCCCGCCCTGCACATCGGCAGTGTCAGCGCCACAGACAGAGACTCAGGCACCAACGCCCAGGTCACCTACTCGCTGCTGCCGCCCCAGAACCCACACCTGCGCCTCGCCTCCCTGGTCTCCATCAACGCGGACAACGGCCACCTGTTTGCCCTCAGGTCGCTGGACTACGAGGCCCTGCAGGCGTTCGAGTTCCGCGTGGGAGCCACAGACCGCGGCTCCCCGGCGCTGAGCAGCGAGGCGCTGGTGCGCGTGCTGGTGCTGGACGCCAACGACAACTCGCCCTTCGTGCTGTATCCGCTGCAGAACGGCTCGGCGCCTTGCACCGAGCTGGTGCCCCGGGCGGCCGAGCCGGGCTACCTGGTGACCAAGGTGGTGGCGGTGGACGGTGACTCGGGCCAGAACGCCTGGCTGTCGTACCAGCTGCTCAAGGCCACGGAGCCCGGGCTGTTCAGCATGTGGGCGCACAATGGCGAGGTGCGCACCGCCAGGCTGCTGAGCGAGCGCGACGCGGCCAAGCACAGGCTGGTGGTGCTGGTCAAGGACAATGGCGAGCCTCCGCGCTCGGCCACCGCCACGCTGCACGTGCTCCTGGTGGACGGCTTCTCCCAGCCCTACCTGCCGCTGCCGGAGGCGGCCCCGGCCCAGGCCCAGGCCGACTCGCTCACTGTCTACCTGGTGGTGGCATTGGCCTCGGTGTCGTCGCTCTTCCTCTTTTCGGTGCTCCTGTTCGTGGCAGTGCGGCTGTGCAGGAGGAGCAGGGCGGCCCCGGTCGGTCGCTGCTCGGTGCCCGAGGGCCCCTTTCCAGGGCATCTGGTGGACGTGAGCGGCACCGGGACCCTATCCCAGAGCTACCACTACGAGGTGTGTTTGACCGGAGACTCAGGGGCCGGCGAGTTCAAGTTCCTGAAGCCGATTATTCCTAACCTTTTGCCCCAGGGCGCTGGTGAAGAAATAGGGAAAACTGCTGCCTTCCGGAATAGCTTTGGATTAAATTAGAGATCTCGTGATGACGCGTTGTTTTCTGCCATTTATCCCAAACTTTTTCAGATCTAGAATTCGAGAGTGTCATGGACAAAAATTTCACCTTGAGATTGAGCTTTTATTTCCCTTTTTAATGGATTTGTCTGTTGAACTTCATGCTGTCCAAGTGTTGAAAAGTCAATTTTATTTCATTGCATTTATTTACATAGTGTCATTCCAAATCCATGCATGCTGTTGATTTTCCTGAGATTTTTTTCTCTTCTTGTTGGTATTTGTTGTGATAAACCACCTTAATAAAATCAAGTATTAATTTTATTTTCTATATATTCTGCCCATTCTATTTCATCACACTCTTAAGTATTATATATTTGATGCTAAAATGCAAAAATTAAAAATGTTTCACATCATCATATTTTAATTGTTTAAAACAAAGACAAATACATACATATGCTAACAAATGAAATATGTGAAAAAATATGTAAAAGGAAACAATCTTCTATTTACTCTTTTTTGCAGCCCTGAGTCCTATTAGCAAACTTTTTAAAAACAGTTTAATTGAATTATTACTTACATGAAGAAAAATGAACAAATCCTTTATGTTCAACTCAATATATATTCACAAAGTAACATATTTATTACCAGCAGCTTGAAGAGAAAATGAAACATCACTGGCACCCCAGGTGCCACACAAATTACTCCTTACAATCACTACTACCCCAAGTATAGCAAATATGCTGACTTCCAATACCATAGTTTAATTTTGCCTCTTCTGAATTTATATAAATGGAGTAATAAAGTATGAACTGCTTGTGTCTGGCTTTTTTCACTCAGCATTATGTTTATGAAATTTATCCATAATACAGCTTTTAAGTTTAGTCCTTTCATTCTCATTGCTGTATAATATTCCACTGTATGAATATACCACAGTTTATTATCTATCCTTTAGATCAGTATTTGGGATGGGGCAAAGTTTGGCTGTTATGAATTATACTGCTATAAACATTCTTTTAACATGCCTTTTGCCAACCTGTATATGCAGTTTTGTTGGGTATATGCCTAGGAGTGGAATTGTTGCCCATCTTGCAAGTACACGTTGACTTTTAGCAGACATTTCCCAATAGTCTTCCAGTGGTTGTACTAATTTACATTGCTATTCCCAGTGTCTGGATGTACAAATTTTTCCACATTTCTGCCAACAAACTGGTATTGTCTGTTTTTCATTTTATCCCATTGGCAAGCACTTTATACAGTTTTTAAAGCTCTTATATTTACTTGCTTATCACTAAGGAATATGTTTGTAACCATTATGAGCTGAACTGTGTTCCTATATCCCCCTCAAATTCATATGTTGAAACCCTAACTCCCACTACCTCAGAATGTGACTATGTTTAAAGATAGGCCCCTAAAAACAGGTAATCACATTAAAATGGGTCCTTAGGGCAGAACTTAATCCAATATAACTGCTGTACTTATAAGATGAGGAGATTAGAACATAGAGAAAGAGATGTCAGACATGTAAACACACAGAGGGATGATTATGTGAAGACACTAGAAGAAGATAGCCATCTACAAGCCAAAGAGAGAGGCCTCCAAATGAAACCAACCCTGCCAACACTTTGATCTTGGACTTCTAGATTTCAGAACTGGGAGGAAAGAAATGTCTGTTGTTTAAGCCACCCAGTCTGTGGTATTTGTTACAGCAGCCATCACAAACTAATGTAGTAACTTTCACAAACTTTAGACAATTAATTTCCTATCATGATTGCTGAGTAACTAGCACACTTAAAACAACTTCAATCTTTTGTTTTTCAGAGGTATCTATATTACTATTTTTGGGTACTTCTCTGGTCAATCTGAAACCTTTCTTTATTGTTCCAGTAACAACAGTTTCATTAGATTTTTGTATGAAGAAAAGAATAGCATTCTTATTCTTCTTTTTATATCTGTTTCTCTCTTAACACTTTCCAACCTCTCTCAGTTGAACTTCTACTCTTACATTTTATTTTTACAACCATAGCTAAGAATTCCTTGTCTTGTCTATAGATATATTTTATTTTATTTTATTTTATTTTGAGACGGAGTTTAGCTCTTGTTGCCCAGGCTGGAGTCCAGTGGCACGATCTCGGCTCACTGCAACCTCCGCCTTCCGGGTTCAAGCGATTCTCCTGCCTCAGCCTCCCGAGTAGCTGGGATGACAGGCATGTGCCACCATGCCCAGCTAATTTTTGTATTTTTAGTAGAGATGGGGTTTCTCCATGTTGGTCAGGCTGGTCTCGAACTCCTGACCTCAGGGGATCCGCCCACCTTGGCCTCCCAAAGTGCTGGGATTACAGGTGTGAGCCACCACACCTGGCCATCTATAGATATATTTTAGAAGATAATATTTAAAATTTACTTTTAATGACTATATAAATTATGAATGCCCTGCAGTCCCAAATCACCAAGAACACACCGAATCAGAACAAAGTTGGGTTTATTGACTTGTTGCAATGAAGGAGACTGCACACAATAGGAAACAGAGGTCACTTTAGTAACAGGGTCTTGCAGAGGAGTTATAGGATTTGGTCTTCTGTTAGGTGGTTTTAACAGAGGTTCAAGAAGTAGAGGTTAGCTCTGGATTGGATGCTTTCAGAAAATTGGGTAATTCTATATTATTTTAATGAATTTCATTTAAGAAGTGGGAAAAACACTGAAATTAAATCTATAATTGGTAAATAAGCAGCATTCACTCATACTAGCAAGGAAAAAGAGCTCTTTTGTCTTTTTCTTTTTTTTTTTTTAGACATTGTCTCCTCAGGCATGAAGTCTGGCTCCAACCGGGTTATAAGGTTATTTTCTGGTCTTGGTGTTATATGAAATTATTTGCATTCAATAGGAGAAGATTATGGCCAACCTGTGAGTGTCAGAACAGTTCCACGTTGTTGGGCTGATTCTCTTCTCAAAATATTGTTCATTGCAGAGCCATATTACTTACTGAAACCTCTAAGTATAGTCTGGGATTGCTTATGGATCTAAGTAATCTTAGAGCTGAGATTACTTAATTTCTACTATTATTTTCTTGATAATGTATCCCTAAGTTTAATCTTGTTATTTCCATCTGAGATTTGTGCTTGTCTGTTATTAAATATTCTTAATAAAAATTTAAAAAACAAACAAAAAAGATATTGAATATTCTTATTTTTCTGTTTCTTATATTTCTCTTTTATTTTACATTTTTAGCTTTTCTTCTATGTCCTGATGTCTCTCACTTTATGTTTTAGTGATAGGGACTATCTTTCCTGCTCTTTGGATCCAATGTTGCACTTCCTGTACCATTGAAAACAGTTATGTTCCTAAAATCAAGACCAAATAGAGTCATCATTTTAGACTCCATTAGTTGGCTTTACCATATTTTCAAAATCTCAATCAATAATTCACTTTACCATCTTTTCTAACCTGAAGCCCTCTAGCTTTCTGCTTCCATCTGGACTAAATGATCTTTAGGTCTGTACAAAACTGTCATCTTGTCTTCATACCTCTCTTGGTTGAGTGCATTATTTAACAGATCACTTGTCTCCCTTTTTATTCCCTCTCTTTGCTACAATATATCCTGAAATGTCTTCCTAAAGGAGAGTTCACAAAAAAGCCAATTTCTGTGTCTCTGCCTAAAATGCATTTAGTTTTCCTTCATATTTAATTGATGATTTGGCCAGACACAGAATTATTGCTTGGAAATTTAAAATCATTAATGTGTTGATTATTGATTCATAATTTTTGATAAAAATTTTATGCCAGTGTGATTGTTGATTTTTTTATACCCCCATCTCTCTCTCTCTCTCCATATTTCTGTAGAGAAAGGAATCTTCTGTGTCTCCTTCCCTCAGAATTTTCTCTCTTCTTTTTAGATGTCTTGAATTTCATAATAGTATTATAATTTTTTCATTCCTTTGACTGAACACTCAATGTACTTATGATTCTAACAATTTATACCTTTTTATCTCTGGGATTACTTCATTTCTATTATTATTATTATTTTGAGACAAATCTTGCTCTGTTGCCCATGCTGGAGTGCAGTGGTGCAATCTGCAGTCTCGGCTCACTACAACCTCTGCCTCCCAGGCTCAAATGATTTTCCTGACTCAGCCTTCTGAGCAGCTGGGACTATAGGCACACACCACCACATCCAGCTAATTTTTTTTTAAAATAGAGTTGGGGTTTCACCATATTGGCTAGGCTGGTCTCAAACTCCTGGCCTCAAGTGATCCACCTGCATCAGCCTCCCAAAGTGCTGGGATTACAGGTGTGAGCCACTGTGCCTGGCCCATTTCTACTATTATTTTCTTAATAGTTGTATCCCTAAGTTTAATCTTGTTATTTCCTTCTGAAACTTGTGCTTGTCAGATATTGAATATTCTTAATTATTTCTGTTTCTTATATTCTTTTTTATTTTACATCTTTAGCTTTTCTTCTATGTTCTGAAGTCTCTCACTTTATTTTTGAGCATTTCTAATGAATTTTTAGTCTTAGTGGCATATTCAAGTTTCTACGAACTTTATTATTAAACATTATTATATATTATGTACTATTATTACTACTACATACTTTCAGTGTACTTGGCTATTTTCTAAATACTTTATACATACTCATTTAATCGTCAAAATAATGGTACAATTAGTGTCTATATTTTCAGGGTGAACAAACTGGAGCACACAGAGGTAAAGCAATTTGCCCAAGGTCACTGTCCTAATCAGTTTGGGCTGCTGTAGCAAATACTATAGATTGAGTGGCTTATAAATAGCAGAAAGTAATTTCTTACAGTGTTAGGGCTGGAAGTCTAAAATCAGGGTGCTAGCATGGTTGAGTTCTGGTGAGGGCCCTCTTCCAGGTTTCAGAGTGCAGACTTCTCCTTGTATCCTCACATGGCAGAAAAAAAGGCAAGAGAATTCTCTGGAATCACTTTTACAAATGCACTAATCTCATTCAGGGCTGCTTCTTCTCTGGAATCACTTTTATAAATGCACTAATCTCATTCAGGGCTGCTTCTTCGTGACCTAATTGCCACTCAAAGCCCTACTTCCTACCATCACGTTGGGGGTTAGGATTTCAACAGTCACCTAGCTAATAAGAGGCAGAAGTAGAATTTGAATCCAGGCAGCCTGACTCCAGAGAAATTGCTTCATTTTTATGAAAGAACTTTTTTTTTTTTTTTAGCGACAAGGTCTTGCTATGTTACCCAGGCTGGTTTTCAACTTCTCAGCTCAAGTGATCCTCTTGCCTTGGCCTCTTGAGTAGCAGGCAGATGCTACCATGCCCAGCTCAGAAATTGCTGTTTGTTTGTTTTTACTTTTTTCTATTTTAAAATCTATCAAAATTCAAAAGAGTGTATACAACATATATGTACAATAATAATAATAAACAATAATAACATGGTCACTCATCTACCCATTACCCAGCTTAAGAACTAGAATGATGCCAAGATGTTATGCCTCCACCATAACATCTTTCAACCCTATGAAAAAGAACCAGTTTTCTGAATTTTTACTTAATTGTTTGTTCTTCTTTATATTTGCAATAGAAAAGCATGTATTCCTAAATGACTTACCATTTAGTTGTATCTGTCTTTGCAATTGATACAAATGAATTTATATAGTATGGATCCTCTGTGAACTTGCTCTTTTTAATCATTATGGTATTGAATTTATCCATGTTAATTCAGTTTATTCACTTAACTGTTCTATAGTATTCCATTATATAAATGGAATACTATGAACTTTAAATTCTTTTTACTAATGATTTACTTTTTGGTTGTTCTAAGAGTTTTGTTACTATAAACAATGCTGCTATAAGCATTCTTGAATATATTGCCTCATACATTTGGGCAAGGGTTCCTTTTGGGTACAGGCACATCCAGGAAGGGACTATCTGGGTCATACCAAGAATCAGGAAAATATTAAAGTGAATGAAAATGACAACAAGGAGATGCTGACACCAAGATGACAGATGTTAGAATTATCTGACAAATTTTAAAAACAGAGCTCATCAAAATGTTTAAATGAGCAATTATGAACATATTTGAAACAAATGAAAAACAGTCTCAGCAAAGAAATGAAAGATATAAAGAAATGCCTATGGAAATTTTAGAAATTAAAGTTATAATAATGGGGCCGGGTGCAGTGGTTCACACCTGTGATCCCAGCACTTTGAGAGGCCGAGACTGGTGGATCACCTGAGGTCAGGAATTCGAGACCAGCCTGGCCAACATGGTGAAACCCCGTCTCTACTAAAAGTACAAAATTAGCCAGGTGTGGTGGTGCATGCCTGTTATCCCAACTACTTGGGAGGCTAAGGCAGGAGAATCACTTGAACCCAGGAAGCGGGGAGGTTGCAGTGAGCCAAGATTGCCTCGCTGCTCTCTAGCCTGGGTGACAGAGCAAGACTGTCTCAAAAAAAAAAAAAAAGAAAGAAAAACCCAGATATAATAATTGAAATAAAAACTCAAGATATGGGCTCCACAGCAGAATGGAGGGAACAAAGAATCAATGAACCAGAAGATGGAACAATAGAAATTACCCATTCTGAACAGGACAGAGAAAATAGAGCATAAAAAATGAACAGAGGCTCAGGAACCTGTGGGGGCATACCAAAAGAACTAACCTTTGTGTCACTGGAGTCCCAGAAGGAGGCCAGAAGGAGGGTGGAGCTAAAAAAAGTACTCAAAGAAATAATGGCTGGAAACTAAGCAAATTGGCAAAAGGCATAAACCAGAGATTCAAGA
This sequence comes from Homo sapiens, assembly GCF_000001405.40. Taxonomy (NCBI): domain Eukaryota; kingdom Metazoa; phylum Chordata; class Mammalia; order Primates; family Hominidae; genus Homo; species Homo sapiens. Next base: position 379,738 of record NW_025791778.1, read on the forward strand.
AGCTGAACAAATCCCAAACAGGATAAACCCAAAGGAATCCACACCGAGGCATCATAGTGAAATTTCTGCAAACTAAGGACAAAACATCTTTAAAGCAGTGAAGGAGAAATGACACCTTACCTACAGGGCAGTAACAATTTGAATGAGAGTAGATTCCTCATCAGAAACCATGGAGGACAGAAGGAAGTTGCACAATATTTTTCAAGTGCTGAAAGAAAACAACTGTCATCCCCAAATCCTATATCCAGTGGAACTATCCTTCAGGGAAAGAATTTGTTGCCAGTATACCTACCTTAAAATATTTGCTAATGCAAGTTCTCCAAACAGAAAGGAAACAATTTAAAAAGCAATCTTGGAATATCAAGAAGGAAGAAACAACACAAGAAACAAAAATATGAGTAAATACAATAGACTTTTCTTTTTCTCTTGAGGTTCCTAAATTATGTTTGGTGGTTGAATCCAAAATTATAACACTTTCTAAATGTGGTCCTAAGTGTATGTACAGGAAATATTTTAAACATATTATAAATGAAGGAGGGTAAAAGGACACACAGGGAGGTACATTTTCTATGCTTCATTTGAACTGGTAAAAATATCAGTTAGTGATATCAATCAGTAAACTGATAAGTTGCGTATATATAGTATAATACCTAGAGTAATCAGTAAAAAGCTATAAAAAGTGATACACTCAAAAAAACAACCCACTACAGCTAAATCAAAACAGAATTCTAAAAAAATGTTCCAATAACCCACAGGAAGTTAGAAAAATGAAAACAGAGAGACAAACAAAAAAACAGAGAAAACAAACAGGAAACAAAAAATGGCAGAGTTAATCTCTACTAATCAATAATTATGTTAATGTAAATGGTTTGAGCACATCAATTAAAACAAACATTGGGAGAATGGGTTTAAAAAATCATGACCCAACTATATGTCTCAAAATTAATTTCAAATATAATGATATATGCAGTTTGAAAGTAAAAAGACAAAAATGCATACAATTATTAATGTAAAAATAAAGCAGGAGCTGGGTGCAGTGGCTCATGCCTGTAATCCCAGCACTTTGGGAGGCTGAGGCAGGAGGATCACCTAAGGTCAGGAGTTTGAGACCAGCCTGGCCAACATGGTGAAACCCCATCTCTACTAAAAATACAAAATTAGCTGCTGTGGTGATGGGCGCCTGTAATCCCAGCTACTCCGGAGGCTGAGGCGGGAGAATTGCTTGAACCTGGGAGGTGGAGGTTGCTGTGAGCCGAGATCATACCATTGCACTCCAGCCTGGGAGACAAGAGCAAAACTCTGTCTCAAAAATAAATAAATAAATAAAAATAAGAATAAATAAATAACTGAATAGATAAATTAATTAATAAAGCAGGAGTAGCCATAATGTCATATAAAGTAGACATGAGAGCAAAGAAAAGCATCAGAGACAGCATGGGACATATCAGAGACATAGTGGGATATTATATAGTGATAAAAGAAGAAAACATAGCAATCCCAAATGTATATATACAAAACTGCAAAATGTATGAAGCAAAAACTGACAGAAGGAGAAATAGAGAAATCCACAATTAATTACAATTGGAGACTTCAATGACCTTCAACAACTGATAGACCAACAAGACAGAAAATCAGCAGAGATATAGAAGAACTCAATAACACCATCAACTAACAGCATCTGATTAATATTTATAAAACACTCCAATACCAGAATACACCAGAACACTCCAATACCAGAATACACCAGAATAAAAAATACTAGAATACACCAGAATAAAAAATACTAGAATACACCAGAATAAACAATACCAGAATACACATTATTTTCAAATGCTCACAGAACCTGTATAAGATAACCACAACCTCAGCCGTAAAACTGACCTCAACCAAATTAATAGTGAAATCGTACAGAGTGGGTTCTCTACGCACAATGAAATTAAACTAAAAATGAATAATGGAAAGATAAGAGGAAAACCTTCAAGTGCACGGATATGTAGCAACATACTTCTAAATAATCTATGAATCAAAAAGAATATCTCAAGGGAAATTTAAAAATACATTGACCTGAATTGAAAGTGAAAATACAACACATCAAATTTTGTGAGACATAGCTAACACAGTGCAGAGAGGAAAATTTTATAGCACTAAATATGTACATTAGAAAAGAGGAAAATTCTCAAACTGGTCACCCACCAGTTTATCAGTTTCAAGCTTCTACCTCGAGAATCTAGAAAAAGATGAGGAAAATAAACCCAAAGCATTCAGAAATAAGGAAATAACAAAGATAATAGAAGAAATCAAGAAAATTCAAAGCAAATAGAGAAAGCAATAAAGAAACAAAGAACTGGTTCTTTGAAAAACATTTTAAAAAATGACAAACCTCTAGCAATACTGACAAAAAGTCTTACCCAATCATTTCAGATTTCAAATGTGATTTAGTATCAAATCCTTTATATTTTCAACTTCCTTGCAACATATCTCCTGTTAATTGAGTTTCTTTAAGTGATTGCTTATATATCATCTCTAACTTTTCCCTGTATTACTATGTTTTTCTTTCTATATAACTAAAGAAGAGTTTTAAGAGATTCAATTTGTCCTTGAAGGTCTTTTCCTTTCTCTTTTGATAAACTTGAATAATTTTTTAAAATTATAATGGGATTAACTGAAACATAAAATGGAAATCAGCTTGATCAGCTATGTAGTACAGGTACAGGTTGGGCATCCCTAATCCAAAAATCCAAAAATAGGAACTGCTCCAAAACCCAAAACTTTTTGAGCCAACCTGATGCCACAAGTAGAAAATTCCACACATAAGTACGTAATGCAAACTTTGTTTCATGCACAAAATTGTTTAAAAATATTAAGCAAAATTACCTTCAGCCTATTTGTATAAGATGTATATGAAACTTAAATGAATTTCATGTTTAGACTTGGTTTTCATTACCAAGATATCCCGGTATGTACATGCAAATATTCTAATATCTAAAAAATCTGAAATCTGAAACACTTCTGGTCTCAAGCATTTTGGACAAGGGCTGTTCAACCTGTCATTACAGGCTAACTAAATAAAATTAATTTTAACATACTTTACAATGTTCAGTCAGTTGAAATACTATTTCAGCTTGCTGGTAACAGTCCAGCTAAATTAATCTATCACTTCACTTTAGCATACATGAGCATAAAGAATATGGGGCATGGTGCTTTTTCACATTGTCTACTTTTCCATCATGTGTCCAGATGAGACCAAGGTTTTGCTCCCCAGTTAACAAAACTGAGCTTCAAAATATGATTAAGATGATTTCCAGTGAATGATGAAAATGTTCCGTATCTTGAAAAAAGTGTGAGTTACACACATGAATCCATTTGTTAAAATGGTACAGTTAAGATTGGTGCATTTCAATTTCTGTAAACATTGCCTTAAGAAAAGAACTATACAAAAGTAATCATTAAGCGGGAAGCAGAGAATGGAGAGAAAGGTATAGACAAAACAAGACAACAGAATGTTGTGAAACTGATTGTGTACAGAGGCTTATTCTGTTTACTTTGTATATGTTAGAATTTTTCCATAATAAAAATTTTAAGTTAATGAGTCCTTGTGAGAACATGTTTACGAATGCAAACTTAATTCAACTCTACTCTAGTCAATCAAATCAAAGCAAAAGAGGGCAACACAGAGAAACATTCTCCTGAAACAATCTAACGTAATCCATTTTCTATAAAAAGGCAGTTTCTTGATAGACCCAACTGATATCTTTTTGGGGTACTTTGAGCTATTATCCTCTTTCTATATAACTACCAATGTTATCAAAGACATTTCAAGGATCTAAATGGAGTTTGACAAATACTGTACTGCTGATAAATTTGCTCTGACGTAAAAAAATAATTCAACAACCTATATTCGAGGATGCCTGGTGGTGCTTCAGAGAAACAGAGTGAATAAAAGACTTTGTGGATGCCGTTAAGCTGGAATCAGAACTCAGAATGCTCACCGAAAGAAGGAAGCATTTAAGATTGAGCAGGAAATAATGGCCTTGTTTCAGCAAAGAGATGACACCAGTCCAATATGTTTATTATTGTTGGTTTATTTCATAATTTCATTTTGTTACATTCTCAAGGAACAGTGTGTTCCCAGTAGCATCTATCAAGTGAACCCTGGAGGCTGGTCACATTCATAATCTTTTGTTTTTCTGGCTACATAGAGGTGATTTTGAACTACAAGATCATCTCAGCTATTCAGAGTTTAGATTTTATTTAGCCTTATTTGTTTTGCCTAGCATTTATGTATTTGAAAATATCTTGATTTTTAATCTTCTATCACCTTGGCCCTTACCTGAAGTGAACTTTGTTTGAACTCAATTGATTTCACCTCTCAATAAATATGAAATTAATCTGAAATGAATTGAATTGTTTGGCATATTTTACCTCTTCTATGTGCACTAATCTATTTCACACATTTTCAGTTTGTTTAGAGATACATGTTCCAATGTATCTGAGTAGAAACTAGTGAGATGGGAATGGATATAGCCATAATATTCCATCATTGAATTCCATGGCATTCACTCAAATGTAACTCACCTGTTTTAACAGTACCTTAATTTGGCCTGTATTTATTGGACTTGGTGTTCTTTTTGCTGTGAGAAGACGGTGAAGGTGATTCTTGAATGTTTGTTTTCTGTGTTGCATCATGTTTGTACAACACGGTAATATATTTGGACCTTGATTAAATAATGTAAGAGGGGAATTTGATCAAAAAATAAAATGCACAAGACTGTTAAAACAATGTCTAATTCTATCCATGCAAAAATGGAGTAGAATCCTAAAATGCTTATGACAACTACTTGATTGCTTCTAGTCCCTCTTTTAAATACTTTAATTTACTTAGATACATGTATCATACGTACTTCTTGGCCTCAGTTTTCCTCCTAATAGCCTAATTGTTCTTTTTACTGTGCAGGCATAACTATATAACAAAGTAGGTTTTTTTTTTCATGCCATTTATGAGTCATATAATTTAGATAATTTATTGTTTATTTTACCATTATTGTTGCTAACAAACTTCGTTGTTTTGCATTGTTTGTTGGGACAATTAAATAGTGTACCTCTTGGACTAATAGATTAAATAGTTCATCAGAGATAAATTGCACTGCTGAAGCATCAAAGGAGAAAGACTGAAGTGTAGAATCTGCACTTCAATCTTTCTCCTTAATTAGCACCACCAGGGAATTTGATTCAAGTTCTAGAGGGGAGTGAACCCAGGAATTGGCTTAAAAACAAAAACATACACACAAAAAAACCAACGCTCGCAAGCAATTATTTATGCATGCGGTCCACGCACTCAGTTTGAGAAACACTGACTCGACTTAAAAGTCTTTATAATGCTCAGATTTCTGAAATGCTATTGACCTGAAAACATCTCATGAAGTTATTAGTTTGAACGCGTGGTGGCGGTACAAGCTAAGAGAGTGAATGAAAGCTCTGCAGACTCGGTGGACTCCGTTTCATCCAGAAGCCAAGTAAAAATACAGACCACGTTTACAGCTAAAGCTGAGATAGATGTGTCCGGGAAGGCAGTCGTCGCCAGACAAGTTGTAAGAACGAATTTAAAAATCTCTGCAAAGACATCCGAGAGGGTCGACGGTAGATGTGGTGATTGGGAGCTGAAAAGGATTTTTCTTCCGTATTCAGACATAATAGACATGATGCAAACTAAAGTACAGAACAAGAAAAGGCAAGTGGCTTTCTTCATTTTATTGATGCTTTGGGGAGAGGTGGGTTCTGAATCGATTCAGTATTCCGTATTGGAGGAGACAGAAAGTGGCACGTTTGTGGCCAACTTGACAAAGGACCTGGGACTGAGGGTGGGGGAGCTGGCTTCGCGGGGCGCTCGGGTTGTTTTCAAAGGGAACAGACAACATTTGCAGTTTGATCCACAGACCCATGATTTACTGCTAAATGAAAAACTGGACCGGGAGGAGCTGTGTGGCTCCACTGAGCCGTGTGTGCTACCTTTCCAAGTGTTACTGGAAAACCCCTTGCAGTTTTTTCAGGCTTCCTTGCGAGTCAGAGATATAAATGACCACGCCCCGGAATTCCCTGCCAGAGAAATGCTCCTGAAAATATCAGAAATTACTATGCCAGGAAAGATATTTCCTTTGAAAATGGCACACGATTTAGACACCGGCAGCAACGGCCTTCAGAGGTACACAATCAGCTCCAACCCTCACTTCCACGTTCTCACCCGCAATCGCAGCGAAGGCAGGAAGTTCCCGGAGCTGGTGCTAGACAAACCGTTGGACCGCGAGGAGCAGCCCCAACTCAGGCTAACGCTGATCGCGCTGGATGGCGGGTCTCCGCCCCGGTCAGGGACCTCCGAGATTCAGATCCAGGTTTTGGACATCAATGACAACGTCCCCGAGTTTGCTCAGGAGCTCTATGAAGCACAAGTCCCTGAGAACAACCCCCTCGGCTCTCTGGTTATTACCGTCTCAGCCAGAGATTTAGATGCAGGATCGTTTGGGAAGGTATCTTACGCCCTGTTTCAAGTCGATGACGTCAACCAACCCTTCGAAATAAACGCAATCACAGGAGAAATTCGGCTGAGAAAGGCTTTGGATTTTGAGGAAATTCAGTCTTATGACGTGGATGTTGAGGCTACAGATGGTGGAGGCCTATCAGGAAAATGCTCTTTAGTCGTCAGGGTCCTGGACGTGAATGACAATGCCCCTGAACTCACCATGTCGTTCTTCATCAGCCTCATCCCAGAAAACTTACCAGAGATCACAGTGGCAGTTTTCAGTGTTTCAGATGCAGACTCTGGACATAACCAACAGGTTATTTGTTCAATAGAGAACAATCTCCCCTTTCTACTAAGACCTTCCGTGGAGAATTTCTACACCCTGGTAACAGAAGGCGCGCTGGACAGAGAGAGCAGAGCCGAGTACAACATCACTATCACGGTCACTGATTTGGGGACACCAAGGCTGAAAACCCAGCAGAGCATAACTGTGCAGGTCTCCGACGTCAATGACAACGCCCCCGCCTTCACCCAAACCTCCTACACCCTGTTCGTCCGCGAGAACAACAGCCCCGCCCTGCACATCGGCAGCGTCAGCGCCACAGACAGAGACTCAGGCATCAACGCCCAGGTCACCTACTCGCTGCTGCCGCCCCAGGACCCGCACCTGCCCCTCTCTTCCCTGGTCTCCATCAACGCGGACAACGGCCACCTGTTTGCCCTCAGGTCGCTGGACTACGAGGCCCTGCAGTCTTTCGAGTTCCGCGTGGGCGCCACAGACCGCGGCTCCCCGGCGTTGAGCAGCGAGGCGCTGGTGCGCTTGCTGGTGCTGGACGCCAACGACAACTCGCCCTTCGTGTTGTACCCGCTGCAGAACGGCTCCGCGCCCTGCACCGAGCTGGTGCCCCGGGCGGCCGAGCCGGGCTACCTGGTGACCAAGGTGGTGGCGGTGGACGGCGACTCGGGCCAGAACGCCTGGCTGTCGTACCAGCTGCTCAAGGCCACGGAGCTCGGTCTGTTCGGCGTGTGGGCGCACAATGGCGAGGTGCGCACCGCCAGGCTGCTGAGCGAGCGAGACGCAGCCAAGCACAGGCTGGTGGTGCTTGTCAAGGACAATGGCGAGCCTCCGCGCTCGGCCACCGCCACGCTGCACGTGCTCCTGGTGGACGGCTTCTCCCAGCCCTACCTGCCTCTCCCTGAGGCGGCCCCGGCCCAAGCCCAGGCCGACTCTCTCACCGTCTACCTGGTGGTGGCGTTGGCCTCGGTGTCGTCGCTCTTCCTCTTTTCGGTGCTCCTGTTCGTGGCGGTGCGGCTGTGCAGGAGGAGCAGGGCGGCCTCGGTGGGTCGCTACTCGGTGCCCGAGGGTCCCTTTCCAGGGCATCTGGTGGATGTGAGCGGCACCGGGACCCTATCCCAGAGCTACCAGTACAAGGTGTGTCTGACGGGAGGCTCAGAAACAAATGAGTTCAAGTTCCTGAAGCCGATTATGCCCAACTTCCCTCCTCAGGGCACTGAGAGAGAAATGGAAGAAACCCCCACCTCTCGGAATAGCTTCCCGTTCAGTTAAGTGTGGGATTATTTTACTAAATCTTACTTATGTTTGGAGATCTCTTTTAACTTAAAGTTACATGGTCTGTTTCTTGTTTATTTTACCTCTATTCTTTAGGTTGAAATTTTATATAAAGTAAGATACTGGTATCTTAGTATTTCCTGTTCATGCTTAGTAGTTTATTACTTCACTTGAGGGTACTTGACAATATGAACAAAAAGTAAATTTTTATTTGCATAATTTTAAGCTTTTGAAATTAAATTATCTATTCTTCCCCCCCCCAAAAAAAAGTATTGTAAATCCTTAAGTAAAATTGTATTTCTAGCTATTGGTAAGAGTTGTTTCACTATTGCTATGTAGGACTGTTTAAAATGTGAGTATCTGATATTATTTAATCCTCCAATGTCTCATTTTGCAGTAACTCCTACAGTGTGTAACACTAAAAATAAGAACTAATGATGGCTAAACACTAAAGTAGCCATTCATACTTATGCATATTTTAGTATCCCATAATAGTCAATCCAAAATTTTTGTGACTATAGACTTTACTGAAGTGTCAACACATTAGTTTGTGAGCCTCATGTAAGAACATGATGGTCTTTTTTTAAAAAAAAAGTCGTGCCAATTATAAGTGCTTAATAAATATTTGCTGAATGTTACTAACATTCTAGTATTGATTTTTTAAAAAAACTATTGTATCTACAGCGAAATGCTAATATCCTCTCTACAATAAAATATCCTTACCAATGAGTGAAAGTATGAAATATCACTTCTTAGTCAAATCACTGTTGCTTTCCTTCAAAACAGAAAACAGCTTTGACTCTTCTACTCACCCTACACACCGCTACAGAAAATAAAATGCTTAACAGCATATTTTATCTTTTTTTCTTTGTCTCACAATTTGAAAGTTGAAAGATTTCAAATTATATTTGCCAAACTCCTCCTCTCACTTTCTCAAGATGTTTGATATCTACCAAGATCTAAGTAAGGTATTAGTGGCAGGTTATTCGGTAACATCAGATTTTCCCTTCTAGTGTTGTGTAAGCATCATTTGCTTGTATTAACCATTACACCATTTACCTTCACAGTTTAGCCCATATCTAGTCTTATTTGTGTCAGCTGTATTTGTGATATTTCATTTAAAAATCCCTCTTTCAACTTTCTATCAAAGGCAAGCAATGTATATTAAAATAACAATTCAGTGACTATTTTATTTTATTTTGAGACGGAGTTTTGCTCTTGTTGCCCAGGTTGGACTGTAATGGTGCGATCTTCGCTCACTGCAACCTCCGCCTCCCTGGTTCAAGTGATTCTCCTGCCTCAGCCTCCTTAGTAACTAAGATTACAGGCGCATGCCACCAAACCCAGCTAATTTTTGTATTTTTAGGAGAGACAGGGTTTCACCATCTTGACCAGGCTGGTCTCGAATTCCTGACCTCATGATCCACCCGCCTCAGCCTCCCAAAGCGCTGGGATTACAGGTGTGAGCCACCACACCTGGCTGACTATTTTATTTTTATCCTTAATTGAAGTGGAACTGGGCTGAACTAAATTACATTTGACTGTGTTTTGTGTCCAGATAAGTGAACTGACTGTCATGGATGATTACCAACTGATTAAATGAGTGTGGGGAACATTTACTATTTTGTGTTCTCAGATATATACCCTATTCTCCTTAGAACAGCATTCTTCCTTGGTGAGATTCCTTCTTCCATTGTTCTCACTCCAGTCACTTGGCTTTAGTTGGAGCAGTAGTGTTTTTCAATATCCCCATCCCCCTAATCCTAGAGAATGTACACTGGGGTAGTATACTGTCCAATGCAGACAGGTCAATACCCTTCCCCAGACAGTGTATTTTTGACTTTGTCAACTTTGTTGTCTTCTTTACATCTGTAGAAAAGACATTGCCTAGATTCTGAGCTTATATTGATTTTTTTTTTTTTTTTTTGAGACAGAGTCTTGCTCTGTCACCCGGGCTGAAATGCAGTGGCACAATCTCAGCTCACTGCAACATCCACCTCCCAGGTTCAAGTGATTCTTCTGCCTCAGCCTCCTGAGTAGCTGGGACTACAGGTGTGCACCACCACACCCAATTAATTTTTATATTTTTAGTAGAAACGAGGTTTCACCATATTGGCCAGGCTGGTCTCAAACTCTTGGCCTCCAGTGATCCACCCACCTCAGCCTCCCAAAGTGCTGGGATTACAGGCGTGAGCCACCACACCTGGCCTATATTGATTTTTAATAAGACAAACCACCATTTTCTCTAAATTTCACTGGGCATTGCACATAATAAATTTATGAAGGAAAAAAAGTCCTAAATGGTGGCCAGGTATGGTAGCTCAAGCCTGTAATCCCAGCACTTTGGGAGGCCGAGGCAGGCAGATCACTTGAGGCCAGGAGTTCAAGACCATCCTGGCCAATATGGTGAAATGTCATGTCTACTAAAACTACAAAAATTAGCCTGGTGTGGTAGCACGCACCTGTAGTCCTAGCTTCTCAGGAGGCTGAGTCAGGAGAATCGCTTGAACCTGGGAGGTAGAGGTTGCAGTGGGCCAAGATTGAGGCCACTGCACTCCAGCCTGGGCAACAGAGTGAGACCACGTCTCAAAAAAAAAAAACAAAAAATTCCCAATGGTTATGTAGACCAGAGACTAACAAGAAACAATATTTTTATTTTCTTTCGGGAGTTACAGGCACATTACAATATGAGAATGAAACTAGATTTTGAAAGTTCATGATTTCTTCCAGTACAATAGAACAAATTAGCATTTTTGTAATAGAATGTAAATTCCCCAAGAGCAAGAATTTTTATGTTTCATTTACTGTATTATCCCAGGAAGCTACATGAATGTCCCTACAGGTAAATACTTGTTAATAAATGAATTTGCCTGGAGCAGAGTTTTGTGTACTGAACCTGCACCTTTATAAGGAAGATGAATATAGATACAGACATTACTTTTGCTGTAACAACCATTCTTAGCTACCTGAACAAGGCCTCATAATAGCCGGGGGAAAAGGGAGTATATAACAGGCTATGACCTAAAAGGCCTGCTATATGTTTTAGCTATTACAGTATACAGTGTGCTTTGAAATGAAAATTATCTGAAGTTGTAAAGCAGAACGCTTGGTGGCGCTGCAGGCTGAGTGAAAAACTGCAGAATCAGTGTCTCCTTAAAAGCTGTGCGGGTTTTCTGGCAGCTCCAAAAGGAAACACTTTTTCACTACTGGGGATAGGTTTCAGAGAGGCAGCCATCCCATGTCGGTCAATGTTAAAAAGAACTAACTCAAGATATTTAAATCAAGATAGCTGAGTTGGCTGTAAAGCAATTATTTTGTGATTAAATACTGCATCTTTTGGACCCTGAGGAATGATGGAGACGCCGCTCCCCAAAGCACCAGAGAAAAGGCAAGTGACCGCCATTATTTTCTTATTACTACTGTGGGAGGCGGGCAGCGCTACGATTAAGTATTCAGTTCTAGAAGAGAGGGACAGCGGCTCTTTTGTGGCCAACTTAGCAAAAGATCTGGGGCTGGGTGTAGGGGAACTGGCCGCGAGAGGCGCCCGGATTCTTTCCAAAGGGAACAAACAGTATTTGCAGCTCGAACGGAAGAGTGGGAATTTGCTCCTAAAAGAAAAATTGGACCGGGAAGAGTTGTGCGGTGACATAGATCCATGTATACTACATTTCCAGATGTTACTGAAAAATCCGGTGCAGTTTATTCAAGGTGAACTACAGCTCCAAGATGTAAATGACCATGCCCCAGAATTCTTGGAAAATGAAATCCTCCTGAAAATCTCCGAAGGCAGCCATCCAGGGACTTCATTTCCTTTGAAAATAGCTCAAGATTTGGACGTAGGTAGCAACACAGTTCAGAACTACTCAATTAGCACCAACTCCTATTTCCACCTTTTCACTCGCAATCACAGCGACGGCAAGAAATACCCAGAGCTCGTGCTGGATCAAGCGCTGGACCGCGAGGAGCAGCCCCAGCTCAGGTTAACCCTCACAGCGCTGGATGGTGGGTCACCGCCCAGAACTGGGACTTCCCAGGTTCTCATAGTGATTGTAGATATCAATGACAACGTCCCTGAATTTGCTCAGCGGCGCTACGAGGTGCAGGTCCCAGAGAACACCCCTATAGGTTCCCTTGTCATCACCGTCTCTGCCAGGGATTTAGATGCTGGGACCCACGGGGAGCTCTCCTATTCATTTTTTCAATACTCCAATCAAATCATTCAGGCCTTTGAAATAAACTCAATCACGGGAGAAATTAGATTTAAAAAGGCGTTGGATTTTGAGGAAATTCAATCTTATCACATGGAAGTTGAGGCCTCAGACGGTGGGGGTCTTTCAGGAAAATGCACCGTAGCCATAGAGGTAATGGATATAAACGACAACGCACCGGAACTTACTATGTCCTTACTTATCAGTGATATCCTAGAAAACTCCCCAGAAACAGTGGTCGCTGTTTTCGGAATTTCGGATCCGGACTCCGGGAACAATGGAAAAATGATGTGTTCCATCCAAGACCATCTCCCTTTCCTTCTAAAACCTACCTTAGAAAATTTCTACACTTTGTTAACAGAAGGAGCGCTAGACAGAGAGAGCAGGGCCGAGTACAACATCACCATTACTGTCACAGACTTGGGGACACCCAGGCTGAAAACCGAGTACAACATAACCCTGCGGGTCTCCGACGTCAATGACAACGCCCCCGCCTTCACCCAAACCTCCTACACCCTGTTCGTCCGCGAGAACAACAGCCCCGCCCTGCACATCGGCAGTGTCAGCGCCACAGACAGAGACTCAGGCACCAACGCTCAGGTCACCTACTCGCTGCTGCCGCCCCAGAACCCGCACCTGCCCCTCGCCTCCCTGGTCTCCATCAACACAGACAACGGCCACCTGTTTGCCCTCAGGTCGCTGGACTACGAGGCCCTGCAGGAGTTCGAGTTCCGCGTGGGCGCCTCAGACCGCGGTTCTCCGGCTTTGAGCAGCGAGGCGCTGGTGCGCGTGCTGGTGTGCTGGACGCCAACGACAACTCGCCCTTCGTGCTGTACCCGCTGCAGAACGGCTCCGCGCCCTGCACCGAGCTGGTGCCCCGGGCGGCCGAGCCGGGCTACCTGGTGACCAAGGTGGTGGCGGTGGACGGTGACTCGGGCCAGAACGCCTGGCTGTCGTACCAGCTGCTCAAGGCCACGGAGCCCGGGCTATTCGGCGTGTGGGCGCACAATGGCGAGGTGCGCACCGCCAGGCTGCTGAGCGAGCGCGACGCGGCCAAGCACAGGCTGGTGGTGCTGGTCAAGGACAATGGCGAGCCTCCGCGCTCGGCCACCGCCACGCTGCACGTGCTCCTGGTGGACGGCTTCTCCCAGCCCTACCTGCCTCTCCCTGAGGCGGCCCCGGCCCAGGCCCAGGCCGACTCGCTCACCGTCTACCTGGTGGTGGCGTTGGCTTCGGTGTCTTCGCTCTTCCTCTTCTCGGTGCTCCTGTTCGTGGCGGTGCGGCTGTGCAGAAGGAGCAGGGCGGCCTCGGTGGGTCGCTACTCGGTGCCCGAGGGCCCCTTTCCAGGGCATCTGGTGGACGTGAGTGGCACCAGGACCCTGTCCCAGAATTATCAGTATGAAGTTTACCTGGCAGAAAGCTCTGAGAGCCAGTTAAAGTTTCTTAAACCGGTACTTCCCAACTTCTTGGGTGAAGGGACTGGTGGGGACAGCGAGGCAAACTCCAACTCTAGGAATCATTTTGGGTTCAATTAGGAATCTGACAACAGGTCGTGATAAATCATAGAATTCACTATTCATCTGTAAGTTCCCAATTCTCTCATTCGCGTAGAGTCACATATTCACACATTAGTAATGGCTGTCATATTTATAGCTATTTCAACCTGCTGGACTATTTTCCATTCCCTTTAATTTTTGTTGTGGTGGTTGTCAGCTATGTTAGTTACAGCATGTGCACACAATAGCAGAGAAATGGTGTTTCCTATGGTTGTTGTTTTTGTTTGGTCAGATTTTGGAACTCACAGGTGTTTTCAGGTTCCCAGTATTTGAACTTGTTCATTGATATGTTATGATTAAGAGAATAGTGTTTCAAACTTTCTGGTTATCATCAGCATGACTCTAAGTCTATCGTAAATCACAGCTTTTAGCCTAAAAAATAATTTTCATTTATGCAAAAATTTTAGTAATCTTGTAAATTGTTGCACTTCTGTTGTGTTGTTTCAAAAACACTACTCTTCCCTCAAATGAACCAATATTTTACCTAGGTGATGTTTTCTCTCCTGAATTTCTTTTTTCAAAATTGATATTTATAGACCATCGGCTGTTATTCTAAAGGATTCAACTCCTGTTACATGAAAGAATAATAGAAAAAAGGTTGGTTGACTTGTGATTGCTTTTTTTTTAATAATAAATGGCTTTGGTATGTAAATAATGATTCTCCTTCTTTTAAAATAATATATAGCAGTGGCTCACACCTGTAATCCTAGCACTTTGGGAGGCCAAGGTGGGCGGATCACCTGAGGTCAGGAGTTCGAGACCAGCCTGGCCAACATGTTGAAACCCCATCTCTACTAAAAAATACAAAAATCAGCTGGGCGTGGTGACAAGTGCCTGTAATCCCAGTTACTTGGGAGGCTGAGGCAGGAGAATCCCTTGTGCCTCGGAGGCGGAGGTTGCAGTGAGCTGAGATCATGCCACTGCAATCCAGCCTGGGTGACAGAGAGAGACTCCATCTCAAAAATAAATAAATAAATAAAAATAAAATATAATCATATGATTCAAACATACAGTAAGTACAAAAGAGAAAGCAAATTAACATCATTATTCCACCATCAGAACTAATTTCATTAAGTCAACATCATTCTAAAATATTTCAATGAATGTATATAAGAATAAAGTAATAGATGAAAATAATTTTATAAAATGGATCTATAATAAATTGATAGCTTCTGATAAAAATGATTAGATTGAATACAATAAAACGAAGTGTGAAACTATAGAACTTGCTTAAGCTTTGATAAGTAGTCCCTATAAAGGTTAAAAAGCAAGATTAGATGCATATTAAGACATTAGCATTACTTAACTGCCTGCTTAAAAATGAGCAAATAAACATTTTATACCCGTTCTTTCTTAAACTTACTTATCCTTTTTGTATTAAATATATATTACCTTATCAATATTTATAACATTTACAATGTATTTTGAAAGAATACTTGCCATAATTGTTTATGCATTTCATATTTTTTTTAGACGGAGTTTCACTCTTGTTGCCCAGGCTGGAGTGCAGTGGCGTGATCTCGGCTCATTGCAGCCTCCACCTCCCGGGTTCAAGCGATTCTCCTGCCTCAGCCTCACAAGTACCTGGGATGACAGGCGTGCGCCACCATGCCTGGCTAATGCTGTATTTTTAGTAGAGATGGGGTTTCACCATGTTGGTCAGGCTGGTCTCGAACTCCTGACCTCAGGTGATCCACCTGCCTCGGGCTCCCAAAGTGCTGGGATTACAGGTGTGAGCCACTGCACCTGGCCAGCATTTCATATTTTTTAAATTTTAATTTAAAAGTTTTTTCCAATTTTATTCAAGTCTGACTGCCCAGGGTAACCACTTTTGATGCTCTTATGTGTTTTCCCATATTTACTTCCCTATTTTTAAAAATCACATATGCTTATAAAGTGCTTTTTCTCAAATCCCAGTTTTAGATATCCAGTTTTTAAGGGGTACACACACAGACGCACACACAACTCGGACATTTCCTCTACCTAGCAATATCAAAATTCTGTTTAGATAATGTTTATATAATTGTCACCATAAAAATGTTACTTACACCTAAGCCTGAAGAGTAAAAACAAAAAGCCTCTTTTTTTACCTTTAAGGTCATAATTGCCTTCTTTTTCAACTACTTTTCTATGTACATCTTTTAAAATTACCCACAAATTTTGTAAAGCCTGAAGCTCCTAACTTAGGTTAAACTCATAAAGAAATTTATCGGTTCCATTCTTTTCTCCTGGAGCCATCCTGGAGCTATTCAGAGTCTTGTTCCATTGTACATTGTTTGCTCTCTAGACCTACTGCACAGCTGGCAGTTTGCTTTTCCCACTAACTTGGGAGTTTATCTTCCTCTTCCATTTGATTTCCTCTTCTGGATTTTACATCTTCCTCTTGTTTGGTTTTCTCCCTTAACTGTCAGAAGAATATTTGGTAATAAATCTTTTGATCATATGAATATAAAAATTTCAGATGTCAGAAACGCAAATGTCTATTTGAAGATTTTGTTGGGTGTGGAATTATAGGTTAGGAATTATTTGCTGCTAGTATTTTGAAGACATTCCTCTGTTGTCTTCTAATCACCAAAGTTGAGATATTACCCATTCTTTTCTGAGAAACTTTGTTTTCCTTCTAGATCCCTGATTCTCAACCAATGGCAATTTTGCCACCTTTGGTAAATGTCTGGCAATTATCAAACATTTGGCAATGTCTGGAAACATTTTTGATGGTCACAGCTGCCAACAGTGCTGAGGCTGAGAAACCTTAATCCAGATAAATTGAGGTTCTTGTATGTACCTCCAGTGTTCTAGAATTTCGTCACTGTGTCATACTATAAGAATTTTGGTCATTTATTGCACTAGTTACTCAATGAGACTTGACAATCTTGAGACATGTTCTTCAGACTAGAACAGGATTGTTAGGGTTTTTTTTAATTAAAAAATTATTTCCCCTACTAAATGGTTTTTGGTTTTTTATTCTGCAATTTCTGTTAATTGTATACTGACCTGGTTTGATATTTAATTTTTCTTATTCTTGTTCTATCTTCTGTCTTTATTTTCCTGGATTCCAGTAAATTTCCTCTATGGCTAAATTTTAAGCTTTTGCTATCATAGTTTTACTTTCAGAAAGCTTTTTCTTGGTCTCTGCATATTTCTTTCTATAGTAGCCTTGCAGTTTTAAAATTCTTTGGTGAGCTATAATTCACATACCATAATATTCACTTTTTTAAAAATTGAGTTTGGTGGTTTTTAGTATATTCCAAGGGCTGTACAATTATTACCACTATCTAATTCTAGAACATTTTTCACATTTTCATCAGCACAAAGAAGAAACCTGGTACCCTTAAGCAGTCACTCCCCATTCCCTCCTCCTTCCAGCCCCTGGAAACCACTAATCAACTTTATGTTTCTTTGGATTTGCCTGTTCTAGACATTTCGTGTAAATTGAATCATAGAATATGTCTGGCTTCTTACACTTAACATAATGTTTTCAAGGTTCATTCATGTTACAGCATGCATCAGCACTTCATTCTTTTCTATGGCTAAATAATATCCCATTGTATGAATGTACCACATTTTGTTTGTTCATCAATTGGTGGGCATTCGGGTTTGTTTCCACTATTTGCTATTATGAATAATGCTGCTAGGAACATTCATGTATGAGTTTTTGTGTGAACATGTTTTCATTTCTCTTGGGTGTATACCTAGGAATGGAATTACTGGGTCACATACTGACTCTATATAACTTTTTGAGGAACTGTCAAACTGTTTTCCAAAGTGACTATACCATTTTACATTCCTCTCAACAGTGTATGAGGGTTCCAATTTGTCTACATCCTCACCAACACTTATTTTTTGTTATTATAGCCATCTTAGAAGGTGTGAAGTAGTATCCTATTATGGTTTGAATTGCATTTCCCAAATGACTAATCATGTTATATTTCTTTTCATATGCTTATTGTTCATTTGAGTATCTTCTTTAAAGAAATGTATACTCAAATTCTTTGCCAGTTATCTAATTTTTTAATATTTTAATTGTTGAATGTTAGTAGTTCTTTATATGTTCTGGATACTAGACTCTTATCAGATACATGATTTACAAATACTTTCTGCCATTCTGTGAGTTGTGTTTTCACTTTATTGGTAGTGTCCTCTGAAGTAAAAAAGATTTTTTAAAATTTTGATGAAGCCCAATTATGTATCGTTTTCTTTTTTTTGAGACAGAATCTCGCTCTGTCGCCCAGACTGGAGTGCAGTGGTGCAATCTCAGCTCACTGCAACCTCTGCCTCTTGGGTTCAAGTGATTCTCCTGCCTCAGCCTCCCAAGTAGCTGGGATTACAGGCGCCTGCCACCACGCCTGGCTGATTTTTTGTATTTTTAGTAGAGATGAGGTTTCACCATGTTGGCCAGGCTGGTCTCAAACTCCTGACCTCAGGTGATCCACCCGTCTCAGCCTTCCAAAGTGCTGGGATTACAGGCGTGAGCCACCGTGCCCGGTGTATTTTTTCCTTTTATAAAATAAGGCACTTAAAAGCTGATAAACATTGTATGTTTGGGTGGGACTAGTTGAGTGGTGGACCTCACCTTAGGGTAATGAAACAGGAAACATTTGGAGACAAAAGGTCAATATCTGTAAGTCTTCTCTCTTGGGCTCACATTGTTCTTCAGAGAGAAATTCAGTAAGGATGGGTAGGATGGAAGTTATTATAAACTTGACACCTAGCACTTTGTAAGCTCCTTGGTTTGAGAGAAAGTGTCTTAATTTTTTTTAACCCACTTTCTCACTAAGATCTCAGTCCTGCCCTAAGTTGTGCTCATGTCCTTCAGTCCAGAGCCCTTCCTATTAAACCACTATGGATATTACACCTCCTATTTTCTGCCATGATGAGAAAAGGGAAAGTGCCTTGCTTCGCTGAGTAGGAAAGGAATTCTCAGATATAAGTACTCCTTATATAGATCTTCAGCCAATGTTATTTTTAGCCTCTCCCTGGGTCCTCAGTCTGGATTATTACTATGGCTACATTTGATTTTCTTATTAATTTTCCTCCTTTTCATTTGAGAGCAACAAGAAAAAAGAAAAAAAAAGAAAACTGTCAGTTACCAATTGTCTGTGTGCTTTGCATCTTCCAAAATTTTTGTGACTTCTCTCCCCTGCGATTTATTCTTCTCCATTATTTTTGTCTTTATAGCTTTGTTTATTTTAAACCCTTGCCCTCTATCATTTACATAAAGTTTCAGGAAAAAATTGAGAAACACTAGTGTGCTCAAACTAGAGTAAAATACAGTCCTTACTGTCAGTCATATTGTGCTAGTTTTCCTGTACCTGAATCATTTATGTTGTTTTATCTCGATTTGCTTGATTTCATCAGATGTCAGTCTTTAGATAAGAGTTCATAGGTGCTGTATTTTTTCACATGCTTGAGAAATACAATTTAGCTGGGTATAAAATTTTTCAATGGACTTTCTTTTCATCAAAGATTTGTTGACATTAAATATAACATTAGTTCTTCTATCATAGTTTCTACAGTCATCTATAAGTCACTTGATTTTTATCCTTAAGTAGTATTTTTTTCAAAAAGAATTCATCAGTACTAGCACAAGGGTTAATGAATTCTTTCCTGTTTGCTGCATTGTTGTCTTTGTACTTGAGCAACAGCTTGGCTATGTGTAAAATAATTGAGCCATAATTTATTTCCCTCAGAATCTTGTAGACATTTCCATTCTGTTTTGGTATTAAATGTTGCTCAGGGAAATACTGAAGCCTGTTTGCTTCACCTGTAGGTAACTTGTTTTCTATCCTTGAAATTCATTATCTTTATCAGATTATGTCTTGATTATGGTAATTACACATTACTTTTCCCTGGAACTCAGCGTGCCTTTTCAATCTGTTCATGCAGATATTTTCAAGTATATCATTTATTTATTTATATATGGTAAGTATATTTTGTTTTAAAATCTGCCTTATAGTTCTAATATCTGAAGTTTGTGTGGGCCTATGCCTACTCTATTTTGTTTCTGCTCCTTCTCATTCATGATGTCTTTGTTTCTTTGTAGGATGTGCATGGTTGATTGCCCTTGAAAATTTATTTGTAGGGTATCTACAAAGCCTAGGTTGCACATGTTCCAACTATCAAAATGGATTTTCATTTGTTTCAGCCAGGATATTGGAAACACTATCAATAGTGGACTATCACAAATTAATTAAATGGCTTGAGGTTCCTTGCATCTCAACCTATGTATATTCAAAATACAAATACACAAGAGGGCCACGTGCAGTGGTGTGGGCCTGTAGTCCCAGCTACTCAGGAGGTTGAGGTGGGAAGATCACTTGAGCTCAGGAGTTCTATACCCACCTAGGCAGTAGGGTAAGACCCCATCTCAATACACACACACAAACACACACACACACACACACACAATATGTAGGTACAACTTCCCAGGCATGTTTTTTTTTTCTTTTTCTTCTTCTCTGCTTAAAATCAGGGAGACTTCTATATAATTCCCTGGAGTTAGAGGCTGAGGGCAGGTTTAGATTTGCTGGTGTTTACACTGTATTTACATTATGGATGTATCCCTGAGTGGTCCCTTAATATGAAGAGGATCTTTCTATAATATGCTGCAACTGTGGTTACACCTGAGCCTTGATTTATATTTCTTTAATCCCACAGCTTCAGATCAAAGCCTGAGTACAAATATTTTTAAATGCCCTGAGAGCATAAGAAGTTTTGTTGTTCTGATACTCTGTTTACCCCTCTCTTACAGGCTTCCATAAAAATTGGGCTTTTTCTGCCATTTTCTACTATGTTTTTGACTCTTCATTAGTTTTGAAGTTTTTCTTAAGTTTTGTCCATTATATTTTGTTTTCCTTAGGAGGGTCATATGAATTATTGATACTATCGTTTTCAGAAATGACAAGCTCTGTCTATTGTTTATTCAACCTGAAGATTCAGTTTTTCCACCATTTCAATTATATATTAATTAGGCTATTTTTCCTTTGAATCCATTGAATCCAGTGTTTCATCAACTGAGTACGGAGTACTCAGACAAATCAATAATCTCCCCTCTCCACTAGACAGTACTCTCTTCACAAAGAGGGCTCTTTATCTTATGGGCTTAGACAAATATATACACAGCCATTCATTGCTTAATAGCAGAAATACATTCTGAAAGCTGTGTCATTAGGCAATTTCATTATTGCTCCAACATCATAGAGTGTACTTACACAAATCCAGATAACGTAGCCTACTATACACACCTGGGATACCCAGTATAGCCTATTGTTCCTAGGCTGCAAACCTGTATATCATGTTACTCTACTGACTACTGTAGACAATTATAACACAATGGTTAGTGTTTGTGTATCTAAACATAGAACAGATAATGCATTGCACTATGACATTACTATAGGTATGGCATCACTAGGCAATAAAAATTTTTCAGCTCCATTATGATCTTACAGGACCACCATTGTATATGCCATCCATGGTTGACCAAATGTCGTTATGCAGCACGTGGCTGTATTGAAATAAATATAGGTGAATGAGTGTTGAATAAAGCAATAAATAAATTTCAGTCTGTTATTTTATCTGGCTTAGTAAGCCTAAACATGATAACAAAATATTTTATTTCTTTTTTATAAAATGCCCATTTATTATTTACAGTATTTGATACTTGCTTTGTTCACCTAACAATATGTCATTTAAAATATGTGACCCAGCTTTCATTTTTTAAAATTTATAACATGATGTTGAGCCCTTTCTTATTTCTTTACAAATAACACATTTTTAAAACAAATTTTGACTTATTGTGTTACACATGAAGGGAGGATGAAAGATTTTTATTCGCCTTCAGACCATGTTCTGCTTTTTAAAAAAGATATACATCAAATTTATCAAACACTTTTATCCTTAGTCTCTCACGAGTACATCTGAAATTTTTTATTCTCCCCTATTCTTAAACTAAGTTGTGTTAGATTAAGGGACTAGTGCCTTAAAGCCTTGATGATTTTATGTTTTACAGTTTTTTTCTTTTACAAACTCTAATCGAGAGGCCCCTATTACTTATAATTTGAGTGAAGGAATAAAATTTTGAATTTGGATGAATTATTCAGAGTTCAGGACAAAAAACCAACAACCACTCTGTGTGTCTCTAACCAAAACCAAAAAAGATATCAGCTACAAGGACTTAGATGCTTATATAAAATCACTGGAAGAAATGGACAAGCAGAAGTAAGAGAGTCAGCACTGAAATGGTTTTGAAGGCATGTGACCACAGCTGCAGCACAGGAATCAGGAAGCTGATGCTACTACTACTACCAAAACTGTTGCTCCCACAGTGCCCTCTCCCACCTCCAAAACTGATGGCTGCACACTGGCACAGAGTGTCTGGATGCCACAGTGGTCTCCAGTTCCCTAAGAAGGTGATGGCTAGACAGAGGAATGCTGACTTGGCTGCAAGCATTCATATCTTTCTGACCTTATTGGTGAACAGTGGAAGACCACCTTTGCCTGTATTCTAAGGCTCACGTGAAGGAATCTCATTGGCAAAACCTAATTTACATCCAGAATAATAATTCTAAGAAGTCTGGAAAATGGAGTTTTAAGCTTTCTAGACCCTGAATTTTTAAAAAATTTATAAAATGAAGTAGGAATGGATGGCATATTACAATAGCACACTGGGGAAACATTGTTCAAAAGGCCTTGTCCTAGCACTTGAATTAATTTCTCTACTGCTTCCTGGGCTTAGCTTTCAGTGGAACAATAATTCTTTTGGCTACAAGCCACACTGCCAATATGGAGAGAGACAGTCGTATGTTCCTTTAATAACTGCTCTGAATTGGATAACTTTTTTGACCCTATCTGTTCCTAGTGGGCAGTTGGGGCAATAGGTCAGGTCTAAGTGGGTGTGATATAGATGGCTACTTTAACCCAAATATACATTCTCCCCTTATTTATACATCTGATTTTAGCTGCTTATGTACGTATGTGAGCTATGGATTATATTCTTCAACCTCTCTTGCAGCCAGGTGTCATCTTGTAACTAAATTGTAGACCGTGAGATAAAAGCACAAGTGCCATGGAGTACCTTATGGAGATAATCTTTTTAAAAAATGAAAGCACACCCTTTCCTTCCTCTTTTTGTTGGCATGAATGCGGATGTAATGACTGCTTATTAGGCAGCTACATTGGACAATGAAGTAAAGGCCATGTCCTGAAGATAGCAAATCAATGATGGAATGAGACTGGGTCCCAGATATCATGGAGTGCATTTTCAGCCACTAGCCTTCTTTTATATTTTGTTTAAGTCACTGTTATTATGGCTTTATCTGTAACTTCAAGCTAAATTGATATAGAACATAGATCTATAAGTTATATAGAATATAATTCTAGCTGATATAAGAAGTTTCTTTAATAAAGTGATATTTAAGGTAAGAGTATAAGGGTAAATAGAGAAAAATGTAAGACTTACATGCATATTTTAGAAATCAAGGTTTATTGAGAAAAAAGGGACAAAGTAAATGACTCAAGAATCAAAACAAGAATTTTTAAAAATAAGGAAAATAAGAGGAATGAATTAAAAATATAAAAGCAAAAATTGATTAAATAGAATAAAACCACATAATATTTGACCAATTAAACAAAAAGTGATTTCTTTGAAAAAGCCAAGGATATTTTAGGTTCTATATATAATTGATGTAGGAGACATGCACCTTTCATTTGGCTCCCTCTAAAAATGCACTAAGAAAACATGAACATATATTTTCAGAAACATAAACTTAATAAGGATGAAGAGAATAATGTAGAAGACAACAGGGAAAACTCTTAGAAGCTGGAAAACAGATGAATGATTTAGTAGACCTGACAAATCAACTACCAGTCATGAAGTGGGAAGAGCTGAGAATCGATCCTGTTCAGACTGTGGGACTAGAATAAATTCTGTTTAGATGGTGGGACATATAGAGGCATCTGAAATGTCAATCCTAGTTCCTCATGCCAAATAAGAAGGATTGTGTTAAAGATTCCTGTAAAGCAGTTAAATCTCTAGCAGTTAGATCACATTTCCCCATTCCAGTCACTGAGTAACCTACCTACCCCCTTGACCCTAACATAAGTCTGGAGTTTTATTTTCTGAAGAGCGCAAAAAGGAGGGTTATTATATGAGAGGTTCTGCCAACAAAATGGAGGTCATGGGTAATATGGGTAGCAAAAGTAAGTAACCATCTAAATATTGAATTCTGGTTGATTGTTAAAATGCTGTGATAGTCATTTGAACCAATCACAAATATTTTGGTTCTCCCCTTCTTGGACATATGGTAGAATTTCAATTCTATTTCTGTTTAAAATTATGTGTAGCCATGTAATTTCCTTTGGCTAATAAAATGTGAGAAGTGACATATATCCATTCTGGGCTGAAGTTTTTGGAGGCACGGTTTAACACATTTTCTTTTCCCACTACAGTGATCACGGAAGTATATGTGAAGATGGAATCTCCACAAGTTTAGATCCTTGACTGACTGCTGTGAGGAGGGCCCCAGGCTGAACTATATAGGATATATAGTATAAGAAAGAAATCAACTTTCTTTCTTTTTTTTTTTTTTTTTTTTGAGACGGAGTCTCGCTCCGTCCAGGCTGGAGTGCAGTGGCACGATCTCGGCTCACTGCAAGCTCCACCTCCCCGGTTCACACCATTCTCCGGCCTCAGCCTCCCAAGTAGCTGGGACTACAGGCGCCCGCCACCACACCTGGCTAGTTTTTTGTATTTTTAGTAGAGACGGGATTTCACTGTGTTAGCCAGGATGGAAGAAATCAACTTTCATTGTGTTAAGCTGTTGAGATTTGGGCAAGTTGTTTGGTATTGAAACATAATTTAGCCTATCCTGATGCAAAACTGTACTCCTCTTCACCCACTTAATCCTTCACCTTTTTCAATCTATATCTTTTCCTTTTGGATAGGGGATTTCAAAGAGTGTGGTAATCTGGCCAGTCCAACCGGAAAGACCTAATCACACTGACACTGAGGTTTCCCCATCCATCAGTGCTCCCAGTTCACTTTAGAATGAAAAATCAAGGTGGACAAGAATTATCAAACTACTCAGAGCCATCACTCAGCTCTGTAGTCTCCCAAACTAAATTAAGAACAAACACGTGAAGAAAGTTTCTGAAAAGGCATACAGAAGTTAAAGAAAAGCAAAGAGTAAAAAGGTAACTTGGAGAAAATGGAAAGTCTGCAGCAAGAAGAAAACTTGGTGGAAAAGCGATTATTAATATCATCAGATGAAAAAAGAAGTTATTGCATCTAAGAAATAAGCCCAAAAGAGAGCTCTTTAAATAGAAGAGACAAGTCTAGGAAAATACTAACCTAATAAAGAAATAAAAATCTCAATATAAGGGCTCGAAGATAAAGTTCAGAAAATGTTCTAGAAAATACTGCAAAAATATTTTACAATGGCAAGTAGGAGAGAAAAAAAATAAAGAAATTAGAGAACCATACCAGAAGTCTAACATCTGAATTACAGAAATTCTAAAAATGAAATGGGAGTTGGATTATAAATGAAATAGTTTAAAGAGATTTCTAAGAGCAGGAGAAAATTAGTTTTCTAGATGAAATGTCTCATCAATTATACTGTGCAATGGATGGAAAATAACCCCAAACCAAAACATACAATTGTTTAATTTTAAAGTGCTTGGGACAATGAAAAAACACTATAACAAAAAATAAAAATATAGGTCACATATGGAAGATAAGAAATAAGATTAGCTTTAGACTTCTTTGCAAACAGATTGGTTTGGAAAGCTCATTGACAAAACAAAAATTCAGAAGAAAAATTATTTTCAACCTAAAACTCTATATTTAGTCAAACTACTAATCAAGTTTGAGGGTAGAATAAAGACATCTTAGTACATTTAAGATCACAAAAACATTTAACTCTGAAACACCCTTCTCCGAAAACTACTGGAAGGTATCTATCAAAATGAGAACCTAATTCAAGACAGGAGAAGACAGAAGAAACAGAAACTAGAAGATCCAAAACAGGACAGAAGTGAAATGAATCTCCAGGTGATGCTGAAGGATGATCCAAGGATGACAACTGAGCATAATGAACAACTAGTCCAGTAAGGAGCTGTTTGACTCAAGAGACAGAGATTTTGAAGGATATCATTAGCAATCCTCTTAACATTGTATCATCTTTTCAATCATATGAACCTATTGGAGGATGTGTTCTAGTAATGCCATAGAGTAAACTGAAAAAGGGCAAGTTATAAAATCCCAGAAATAGCAAACACATCCAGAATAAAAGGCAAAGAATTCCAAGAATGACAGCAAAGAAAAAAATCCAGAATGATAGCTGTGCAGTAGGCACAGAAAGCAACCACCCAATTTAAAGAAAAATTGAAGTCTCAGGAGGAATGGAAATGACTATGGGGAAAATTGCACTGACAGGCAATTGTATCTGTGGGATGAATAAGTGATAGGGATAAAAAAAATCAAGTAAATGAAAAGGCAAGATAATTATTAAAATCACAAAAAAATTGAAAAAGAAAACATAATTAATACACAATAATGTTCCCAATATATGGTAAGTAAAAGAAAATCTAAAATACCTAAAATGTAATCTAACATAATAAACAGTCAATTGATAATTTCTAAAATTAATTAATCAAAATATATCAGAAAACAGATTAGTGACTGAAGAGATAACTAAAAGAGTTTTAAAATGGCTACCTCTTAGAAGGGGAACTAAGAAAAGTGAGGAGGAAAAGGGCAGAACAAGCCTCTTAGTGCTATTTAATTTTGGACCAAGGTCATATATTATTTTGAAAAAAATGCATTTCAAAATATCAGTAAAGTAGAGCTCTTGCAAGTCTCACCAAGAATAAAAAGGAGTTAAAATGCTAAACATCACTAATAAAAATAGGGATACAATTAAAGGTAAATAACGCAATGAAAACAATTCCAAGAAATTTGCAAACTAGATAAAATGATTTTCAAAATAAAATGCAAGTTACTTAAAAATACAAAACCTGAACAGATTAATAACCAAAGGTAAAATGTAAATGGTAGTCACTGATCTACTGCAAGTGAAGTCACCAAACCCAACCAGTTTAAAAGACAAGCTGGAATTAAGCATGTAGAAACATATAATAATATAATTATTAAAACTATTGTATAAAATAGATAAAAAGCTCCCTAACACATTCTATGATGCCAGTATAATAGTTTAATACCAAGGCCATAAAAGGCAAACACGCACTAGGTAAACAACATTAACTAGAAAAATCCTAAAACCATGTTGACACATCATATCTATCTGTGCACTAAAACAATAATACATTATGGTTAAATGTCATTTATATCAATAACTCAGTAATTTAGAAACTAAAGAATAAATGTATTATTTCAACAGCTATCAAAAATCACTTCAAAATATGAAAGAATAAAAAGAAAACTTTATTGATTCAAAAAAGGAATATTTACCCCAAATTGAGATCAACCATCATAGTTGAAGATGAAATGCTAGAAGCACTTCCACAAATGCAAGATTGACCAACTTGCTACTACTAATTTTAAGAGTATTCATTGGACATTGGAGATTCTAGTCACTGAAATTATAGAGGAACAATAATTTCTTATGTAATACTTAAATCAGGTGAAGGATGAAGGTTGGGTTTGGGGGAGGCATAAAGTGTTCCAAGAAATATCACAGGTAAAGAGTTAAGACCTGGAAAGTGGAATAATTGTTTAATTCACAAGAAATTGGGAAAAGGGTCAATTATTCTGCCATATTCACATTATTATTGTTAAATACTTTACAAATAAATAAAATGTCCCCAACCAATATTTGTTGACTTCAAGGAGGAGGTTTCATTTTCTCATATATATTTTTACTATCCATTTTTAAAATAGGAGATTTTCTTAGGATTTCGGTGGGGAGTCAGAGTTTAGTTTCATGCTCCTAGATTTAAGAAGACTATAAATTAATTCTTCTACGAATCCAGATTATCACAGGGGAAAACGACATCAGCTATTACTTACTAGCATTACTGTGACCATTTGAGGATAAAGATGGAATGAAACAGCAAAGATACCGGGGACAAATCATTCTTGTTGCAGAATTCCTTCAATCCGCCATCTTTTTGTTCTAGTCTTGATAACGGGAATAACATCCACAAAACGCAAGGTGGCGCTGCTGGCTAAAAAGAGAGAGAGAAAAATAATTTCACAAAGAAAGGATGTTACAGATTCCAGAGCAAAGAGGCAATCTGAAGAGAAAAGCATAGGAAAGGAAACAGTGGTAATAGGAATTGGGGTAAAATGAGGATCCTTCCCCACAAACATTGCTATTATTCAGCTCATTTCAAAGGATTCCGCTGCTGCCATTTGTGAGAGCCGCTGGAGGCTGAGTGAAAGTCATTTTGAAAGACTGATCCAAAGAAGAATGGAGGCCAGAGTGGAGCGTGCTGTGCAGAAAAGGCAAGTCTTATTTCTTTGTGTATTTCTGGGAATGTCTTGGGCTGGCGCCGAACCGCTTCGGTATTTTGTGGCGGAGGAAACCGAGAGAGGCACCTTTCTTACCAACTTGGCAAAAGACCTAGGGTTAGGGGTAGGGGAACTGAGAGCCCGGGGAACTAGAATTGTTTCAGACCAGAACATGCAAATTTTACTGCTCAGTTCGCTTACTGGTGATCTACTTCTAAATGAGAAATTGGACCGAGAGGAACTGTGTGGCCCCAGAGAGCCCTGTGTGCTGCCTTTCCAGTTGTTATTGGAAAAACCTTTTCAGATTTTCCGTGCTGAACTATGGGTCAGAGACATCAATGATCACGCTCCAGTATTTCTAGACAGAGAGATTTCCTTGAAAATATTAGAAAGTACCACTCCAGGGGCGGCATTTCTCCTAGAGAGTGCACAGGATTCAGATGTTGGAACCAACAGCCTGAGTAACTACACCATCAGCCCCAATGCCTATTTCCATATTAATGTCCATGATAGCGGGGAGGGGAATATCTATCCCGAATTGGTGCTGAATCAAGTGCTGGATCGGGAAGAGATACCAGAGTTCAGTTTAACCCTCACCGCTTTAGACGGCGGCTCTCCTCCAAGATCAGGGACCGCCCTCGTGCGCATTCTGGTTCTAGACGTAAATGACAACGCCCCTGATTTTGTGCGGTCGCTCTACAAGGTGCAGGTGCCCGAAAATAGCCCCGTTGGTTCCATGGTTGTCTCCGTGTCAGCCAGAGATTTAGATACCGGAAGTAATGGGGAAATAGCCTATGCATTTTCTTACGCCACTGAAAGAATTCTCAAAACGTTTCAAATCAATCCAACATCTGGCAGTCTTCATCTTAAAGCGCAATTGGACTATGAGGCAATTCAAACTTACACATTAACTATTCAGGCCAAAGACGGCGGCGGGCTTTCTGGAAAATGCACTGTAGTGGTTGATGTAACAGATATAAACGATAATCGACCCGAGCTGCTCCTGTCTTCACTTACTAGCCCAATTGCAGAAAACTCACCCGAGACAGTCGTGGCTGTTTTTAGGATTAGAGACAGAGATTCCGGGAACAATGGAAAGACAGTGTGCTCCATCCAGGACGATGTCCCCTTCATCCTGAAGCCATCTGTCGAAAACTTCTATACTCTGGTAACAGAGAAACCTTTGGATCGAGAGAGGAACACTGAGTACAACATCACCATCACCGTCACCGACTTGGGGACACCCAGGCTGAAAACCGAGCACAACATAACCGTGCTGGTCTCCGACGTCAATGACAACGCTCCCGCCTTCACCCAAACCTCCTACACCCTGTTTGTCCGTGAGAACAACAGCCCCGCCCTGCCCATCGGCAGTGTCAGCGCCACAGACAGAGACTCGGGCACCAACGCCCAGGTCATCTACTCCCTGCTGCCGTCCCAGGACCCGCACCTGCCCCTCGCCTCCCTGGTCTCCATCAACGCGGACAACGGCCACCTGTTTGCCCTCAGGTCCCTGGACTACGAGGCCCTGCAGGCGTTCGAGTTCCGCGTGGGCGCCACAGACCGCGGCTCCCCCGCGCTGAGCAGCGAGGCGCTGGTGCGCGTGCTGGTGCTGGACGCCAACGACAACTCGCCCTTCGTGCTGTACCCGCTGCAGAACAGCTCCGCGCCCTGCACCGAGCCGTTGCCCCGGGCGGCCGAGCCGGGCTACCTGGTGACCAAGGTGGTGGCGGTGGACGGCGACTCGGGCCAGAACGCCTGGCTGTCGTACCAGCTGCTCAAGGCCACGGAGCCCGGGCTATTCGGCGTGTGGGCGCACAATGGCGAGGTGCGTACCGCCAGGCTGCTGAGCGAGCGCGACGCAGCCAAGCAGAGGCTGGTGGTGCTGGTCAAGGACAATGGCGAGCCTCCGCGCTCGGCCACCGCCACGCTGCACGTGCTCCTGGTGGACGGCTTCTCCCAGCCCTACCTGCGGCTCCCGGAGGCGGCCCCGGACCAGGCCAACTCGCTCACCGTCTACCTGGTGGTGGCGTTGGCCTCGGTGTCTTCGCTCTTCCTCCTCTCGGTGCTCCTGTTCGTGGCGGTGCGGCTGTGCAGGAGGAGCAGGGCGGCCCCGGTGGGTCGCTGCTCGGTGCCTGAGGGCCCCTTTCCACGACATCTGGTGGACTTGAGCGGCACCGGGACCCTATCCCAGAGCTACCAGTATGAGGTGTGCCTGACTGGAGGCTCCGGGACAAATGAGTTCAAGTTTCTGAAACCAATTATCCCCAACCTGCTACCCCAGAGCACAGGCAGGGAAGTGGAAGAAAATCGCCCATTTCAGAATAATTTGGGTTTCTGATAAAGAATGTAAACTAAATCCGCGTCTGTGAATACGTTTCTGATTAGGAACTTATTGCGAGGTTCCCTTAAGGGAGTGTCTTTACATCATTTCAAATATGTACTCTTGAAGTCAAGCAATAAATTTCTATACATAAAATAGGATCCTGATTTAGTATCAAGAACCCTTCACAAAGCATGAAATGTATATGTGTAATGTTTTATGTCAAACAATTATGCTTAATATACAGTCTATTAAATGTAAGTCTTGTTTGAGATATTTTAAATTGCTTTCCATTGTTTTCAATCTCTACTGAGACTTCCTGAGTTGATTAGAAAGCTGTATGAGTGTACCTACCCTAGTCTCAGAAGCATAGACTGTAGAGTATCTTTTTAAGCATTTTTAAAAAATGCTTTTAATGCATCATACACTATTTTAACACTTTTAATCTGAGAAGAAGCATATGAGGCATGGTATTTTAGGAATGAACAAATAGATGGTCTTAGAGATTCAGTAAGTTCACTAAGTTCCACTAACTAATAAGTGACAAAACTGAGCATCCATCCCAGATCTGTCTGACTCTGGGTCAGTGACCCTGCTCCGATTCCATACTGTTTTCTGTCATTAGATATCACCTGGCAAGTTTCTGCCTAATTAAGGAGAAGTCTTTTATCATATTTATACTGCTGTCCAATCTTTTCTATATTTAGAAATAATAATGTACATATTTATCTATGGTTTTATTTTCTTATACACCAAAAGTCCTGCTTTTCTGGGTCAATTTTCAACTATTATTACTAATGCTCTGATCTGTCCAAACTCAAGCGGAAAACAAAATTGAAAGGGCAACCTGTGCCTTCTCCTTTCTTCAGAACATATGACTTTCATTTCCCAGAAAAAAGATTAATGGTCCTGAGTAGGAATATTACATAATTTTGATTGCATCATTAGTTAATTATTTTCTTCATATTGTAGATTTTCTGCAGTCACCCATACTTAACATTTGTAATACATTTTCCTGATTTGAAAGTTTGTTTTTAAAAGTTTTCTATTAATTATAGTGCACTATTGAATCAGGAAAATTTAAGAAAAAGAATAGTTAGTTTTAAATGCATAATATCAAAGAGAATCATAGATGATCATTAAATTTTTAGAAATTCTCGGAAGTTAAGGAGAAGCACTGTTTTTTATAAAAATTTACAACTGATTTTTATTTTTAAAATATCTAGATAATTTTTGCATGGTTGCATTCTGAAAATATTATAAACTAGTGCTGGTAACTCTAATAAAGGTAGTATTACTATATATCACTGGTGGGATAGAATCTAGAGGCAAAAAAACCTCACAGCAGTAAAATCTTAAAATGCTTTCATGGTCTTAGGGTAAAATTATCTAATTTCTCCAACAAATAAATAGCATGAAAAACAGGAGGAGAGAAGTCTACAGTAGGAAAGATCTTACGAGATCTACCAATCAAACGTAATGTGTGGATCTTGTCTGGATCTTCATTCAAACATCAGCAATGACTTTGAAACACTTGGAAGAGTTTGAATATAGATGGGTATTAAGTAATATTAACTGAATTTTTTAGGTATAATAATGGCATTGTACTTAAGGGTATTTTTAGAGTCACTTAAAGTTATTATGCATTTAAAGAAATGTACAATGAAGTATTTGTGGGTGAAAATTCAGTTTGTCTGGAACGTAAAGATGTTGGAGGGATAGCGTCAAGAATTATGGCAAGACATTGATAATAGTTGATGCTAGTACTGAGTAATTGCAGGTTAATTTTACTCCTCTCCTTTTATGAGATATGAAAAATATCAAAATAAAAGCTTTTTAAAATTGATGCTATTAGAAGAGAAATAGAGGTAACAAAAAAGGACACGCTTCCCCAGAAATAAAATCACCACTGCTGTTACACATTTTGTCTCTATTTAGACAAGCTCTCCAGCCTTTCCCTGTTTACCTTCACTGTTTGACATAACTTCTCTACCTGAGATAGTCATGTTCCTGTACTATTCTACCATGTAATTTTGAGGTGTTTTTCTAGTTATAGCAATGGATTTATGCAGAGTCACCTACCTGGTGGTATCAAATTGCCATATACCGGGTACATAGTTTATTTTTAAGCTTAATCTCTCTTTGAATCAGTTTCCTCATGTGTAAGGTGGGGAAATCACAACAGCCCTATGTGGTAGGTGCTATTATTATCCTCATTTTACAGATGAGGAAATTAAAGCAGAGAGATTAAATAATTTGTTCGAGGTTCACAGCTACTAATTATTCCTATGGTTCATGGAAATAAAACTATAAAGATCTAAATGTTGCCCATGTTAACTACTATTATATTTGAAATTCTTTTTGCCAAGCTAGACTGTTACCTAAATATTTCCTTTTTGCCCAAAACTCAGTTAGCATTGTTGAAAGACTAACGCAATTTCTCCTTCGGGCAGTTGTCTGCTCAGTAACGTCCGGCGATATTAACCGTGGTGTTGTAACTTTACATAGTCCCAGGGTACATACAGGCAGAGTTGGGAATATTACATCTATTATCATCCCACAAAATGTAAGATCCTGTGAGGACCCGTGGTGGCGCTGCAGGATAAGAAGGCACAAACCAGAACCGCAGCTGCAGCTCCATTAACCGGCAAAAAGCAGCAGAACCTGGAAGTCCACGGGGAGCTTGGATGCCAAAGGGAGGACGGCTGGGTCCTCTGGAGAGGACTACTCACTGGCATATTTCTGAGGTATCTGTAGAAAACCACAGCCTCAGATACTGGGGACTTTACAGTCCCACAGAACCGTCCTCCCAGGAAGCTGAATTCAGCAAGAACAATGGAGGCCAGCGGGAAGCTCATTTGCAGACAAAGGCAAGTCCTTTTTTCCTTTCTCCTTTTGGGCTTATCTCTGGCGGGCGCGGCGGAACCTAGAAGCTATTCTGTGGTGGAGGAAACTGAGGGCAGCTCCTTTGTCACCAATTTAGCAAAGGACCTGGGTCTGGAGCAGAGGGAATTCTCCAGGCGGGGGGTTAGGGTTGTTTCCAGAGGGAACAAACTACATTTGCAGCTCAATCAGGAGACCGCGGATTTGTTGCTAAATGAGAAATTGGACCGTGAGGATCTGTGCGGTCACACAGAGCCCTGTGTGCTACGTTTCCAAGTGTTGCTAGAGAGTCCCTTCGAGTTTTTTCAAGCTGAGCTGCAAGTAATAGACATAAACGACCACTCTCCAGTATTTCTGGACAAACAAATGTTGGTGAAAGTATCAGAGAGCAGTCCTCCTGGGACTGCGTTTCCTCTGAAGAATGCTGAAGACTTAGATATAGGCCAAAACAATATTGAGAACTATATAATCAGCCCCAACTCCTATTTTCGGGTCCTCACCCGCAAACGCAGTGATGGCAGGAAATACCCAGAGCTGGTGCTGGACAAAGCGCTGGACCGAGAGGAAGAAGCTGAGCTCAGGTTAACACTCACAGCACTGGATGGTGGCTCTCCGCCCAGATCTGGCACTGCTCAGGTCTACATTGAAGTTGTCGATGTCAATGATAATGCCCCTGAATTTGAGCAGCCTTTCTATAGGGTGCAGATCTCTGAGGACAGTCCAATAAGCTTCCTGGTTGTGAAGGTCTCTGCCACGGATGTAGACACAGGAGTCAACGGAGAGATTTCCTATTCACTTTTCCAAGCTTCAGATGAGATAAGCAAAACTTTTAAGGTCGATTTCTTGACAGGAGAAATTCGACTAAAGAAACAACTTGATTTCGAAAAATTTCAGTCCTATGAAGTCAATATCGAGGCGAGAGATGCTGGAGGCTTTTCTGGAAAATGCACCGTTCTGATTCAAGTGATAGATGTGAACGACCATGCCCCAGAAGTTACCATGTCTGCATTTACCAGCCCAATACCTGAGAATGCGCCTGAAACTGTGGTTGCACTTTTCAGTGTTTCAGACCTTGATTCAGGAGAAAATGGGAAAATAAGTTGCTCCATTCAGGAGGATCTACCCTTCCTCCTGAAATCTTCTGTGGGGAACTTTTACACCCTACTAACAGAGACACCACTAGACAGAGAAAGCAGAGCCGAGTACAACGTCACTATCACCGTCACTGACTTAGGGACACCCAGGCTGACAACACATCTCAATATGACCGTGCTGGTGTCGGACGTCAATGACAACGCCCCCGCCTTCACCCAAACCTCCTACACCCTGTTCGTCCGCGAGAACAACAGCCCCGCCCTGCACATCGGCAGCGTCAGCGCCACAGACAGAGACTCGGGCACCAACGCCCAGGTCACCTACTCGCTGCTGCCGCCCCAGGATCCGCACCTGCCCCTCGCCTCCCTGGTCTCCATCAACACAGACAACGGCCACCTGTTCGCCCTCAGGTCGCTGGACTACGAGGCCCTGCAGGCGTTCGAGTTCCGGGTGGGCGCTTCAGACCGCGGCTCCCCGGCTTTGAGCAGCGAGGCGCTGGTGCGCGTGCTGGTGCTGGACGCCAACGACAACTCGCCCTTCGTGCTGTACCCGCTGCAGAATGGCTCCGCGCCCTGCACCGAGCTGGTGCCCCGGGCGGCCGAGCCGGGCTACCTGGTGACCAAGGTGGTGGCGGTGGACGGCGACTCGGGCCAGAACGCCTGGCTGTCGTACCAGCTGCTCAAGGCCACGGAGCCCGGGCTGTTCGGTGTGTGGGCGCACAATGGCGAGGTGCGCACCGCCAGGCTGCTGAGCGAGCGCGACGCGGCCAAGCAGAGGCTGGTGGTGCTGGTCAAGGACAATGGCGAGCCTCCGTGCTCGGCCACCGCCACGCTGCACGTGCTCCTGGTGGACGGCTTCTCCCAGCCCTACCTGCCGCTTCCGGAGGCTGCCCCAGCCCAGGGCCAGGCCGACTCTCTCACCGTCTACCTGGTGGTGGCGTTGGCCTCGGTGTCTTCGCTCTTCCTCTTCTCGGTGCTCCTGTTCGTGGCGGTGCTGCTGTGTAGGAGGAGCAGGGCGGCCTCGGTGGGTCGCTGCTCAGTGCCTGAGGGCCCCTTTCCAGGGCATCTGGTGGACGTGAGGGGCACCGGGAGCCTGTCTCAGAACTATCAGTACGAGGTGTGCCTGGCAGGAGGCTCAGGGACGAATGAGTTCCAGCTCCTGAAACCAGTATTACCTAATATTCAGGGCCATTCTTTTGGGCCAGAAATGGAACAAAACTCTAACTTTAGGAATGGCTTTGGTTTCAGCCTTCAGTTAAAGTAATTGATTTCATATTATATATTTTAATTTTTATGATCAATTCAAAGGAATGGTTTTCTGTCAACTTAGCATAAATTTTAAATTACACTACATTTGCCCATAGTATTTGTCTTGTTTTCACTGTTTTAAAAAATGATATCTCATCTTCTCTTCATTAGTATATCCAGTGGACTCTAATCATAATTCTTTAACAGTGCAATTTTTGTTAAAATGTACATAGTAAAATGCACAGATCTGAAGTGAAGAAATTAATGTAACTGATCTTTTTAAGCCTTTATTTTTTGATTTCTAATCTAGGTAAAATTTAGTTAAAAGTGGTGTAGAGAATGTTTTACATTTATTGCCTTTTAAATGTTTCCCCAAGTCCTAAGGGAGTTGACATATTATCCCCTTTTTTAAATATGAGAAAACTGAGGCTTAGAAAGGTAACTTGGCTGTGAGCTGTGGCTCACACCTGTAATCATAACACTTTGAGAGGCTGAGGCAAGCTGAACCCTTTGAGCTCAGTAGTTCGAGACCAGCCTGGGCAATGGGGCAAAACACTGACACTAACAAAAATACAAAAATTAGCCAGGTGTGATTGCGAACCTGTAGTCCCAGCTACTCAGGAGGCTGAGGTAAGAGGATCCCCTGAGCCCAGGAGACAGAGACTACAGTGAGCCAAGATTGTGCCATTGCACTCCAGGCTGGGTGACAGAGTGAGACCTCATTCCCCCCCACAAAAAACGATTAACTTTCTTATAATTCTGAAATAATAAAGGTAAAAATTTAAAATATAATCTAAGTCTAGCCAATATGCTATATGGTCAGGCATTAACTGATAGCATTGTTTTTCTAACTAAGGAAGTGAAATTTATGTTATTCCTACTCCTACTCCATGAACTAAACTCTCATGTGAAAATATAAGTTTTAGTTTATAGTTTGTTTATACTACTCTGCACAAATATACCCATGTTCTTATCAAAGCTCTAAGTATGCTGGGACAGATACTACAAATGAACTTTATGATGAGCGAATTAACCTGATTTATAGTCCTGTACTTTCTCTACGTGCCATATCCATTATTAAAGAAATGAGTCTAAGTAGGAAGTAGAGTTAACCTATAGTTTCATTTCTTGAATTTCTTATTCTCTTTCTTCAGTCTTTTTCAGTTAACCTACACACACACACACACACACACACACACACACACACACACACATATGTTTATAAGTGGGATGGGAGAACGGGTACGGTGATAATTAAAAGAGGTAAGGTTTCTCTTGAGATGAAAATGTTCTAAAATTGTGATGGCGGATGCACACCTCTGAATATATTAAAAGCCATTGAAATGAAAAAAGGGTGGGGGGAATCCAAAAGTGTAGCAGACCCAACCTTGAGATTTGCTTGTTTGGGAATGAATTTTCCAATAACTTGAAAGTTGTAAAAACTCACACTTCTCAGGGTTAGGTGTCAGAAAGAAAAGGAAGTAATTTATTCTTTAATAAAGCAATTGTTAAATACTCTTTAGAACTACCACTGATTGCAATTTTGCAGTGTCTACTCATAGTGTCTATATAGGTACCATGAAAAAGATGTACTTGTGAAACTGTTCTCATGTTACTTCAGAAAAATTTTGCTTCTAAGTGTGTATTCTATGTCTGGTTAAATGTTCATTGAATTTTATTTAATCATTAATCTCAACAGCATTAAACAGTCAATAACATAAATGACAGTCTTCTCTTTGTACTCCTCCCTGTACAACATCACAGAGCTCCATCTGTATACACGAAAGTCACATGAAAATAGAACTCAGTGTTTTGTATTACATAGTCTATTCAGTACATTTAGAAGTATTTTGCCTCCAATATTCAACCACAGTAAAAGACTCAGTGAGAACGCGTGGTGGCGCTGCAGGTTAAGATGACGGAAAATACAACTGCCTACGCAGCTCCAGGATCCAGCAAACCGTTTCCCAAAGCCTGGAAGCAGAAGAATAGCTGAGCCAGAGCGAACGTGAGTGTGAAACCTCTTTAAGACACCGTTGGGCTGCTTGGTTCTGACATTCTGGACTGCAAAACAGTTCTACTAGGATCCTGGGGATACATGAAGCTTCTGTGAACCAACTTTTCAAGAAAAAGCAATGGAGATTGGATGGATGCACAATCGGAGACAAAGGCAAGTCCTTGTTTTCTTTGTTTTGCTGAGCTTGTCTGGGGCGGGCGCCGAGTTGGGGTCCTATTCCGTAGTGGAAGAAACGGAGAGAGGCTCTTTTGTGGCAAATCTAGGAAAAGACCTGGGGTTGGGGTTGACAGAGATGTCCACCCGCAAGGCCAGGATCATTTCCCAGGGGAACAAACAGCATTTGCAGCTCAAGGCTCAAACTGGGGATTTGCTCATAAATGAGAAGCTAGATCGAGAGGAGCTATGCGGTCCCACTGAGCCTTGCATACTACATTTCCAAGTGTTAATGGAAAACCCTTTAGAAATATTTCAGGCTGAACTGAGGGTGATAGATATAAATGACCATTCTCCCATGTTCACTGAAAAGGAAATGATTCTAAAAATACCGGAAAACAGTCCTCTAGGAACTGAGTTCCCTCTGAATCATGCTTTGGACTTGGACGTAGGAAGCAATAATGTTCAAAACTATAAAATCAGCCCAAGCTCTCATTTCCGGGTTCTAATCCATGAATTCAGAGATGGCAGGAAATACCCTGAGCTAGTGTTGGATAAAGAGCTGGATCGGGAGGAGGAGCCTCAACTAAGATTAACCCTGACAGCGCTGGATGGTGGCTCTCCACCGCGATCTGGAACTGCTCAGGTCCGTATTGAAGTGGTGGACATCAATGATAACGCTCCTGAGTTTGAGCAGCCCATCTACAAAGTGCAGATTCCAGAGAACAGTCCTCTTGGCTCCCTGGTTGCCACCGTCTCCGCCAGGGATTTAGACGGCGGAGCCAATGGAAAAATATCATACACACTCTTTCAGCCTTCGGAGGATATTAGTAAAACTTTGGAGGTAAATCCTATGACAGGGGAAGTTCGACTGAGAAAGCAAGTAGATTTCGAAATGGTTACGTCTTATGAAGTGCGCATCAAAGCCACAGATGGGGGAGGTCTTTCAGGAAAGTGCACTCTTCTCCTGCAGGTGGTGGACGTGAATGACAATCCCCCACAGGTGACCATGTCTGCACTCACCAGCCCCATCCCAGAGAACTCGCCTGAGATAGTAGTTGCTGTTTTCAGCGTTTCAGATCCTGACTCCGGAAACAATGGGAAGACGATTTCCTCCATCCAGGAAGACCTTCCCTTTCTTCTAAAACCTTCAGTCAAGAACTTTTACACCTTGGTAACGGAGAGAGCACTCGACAGAGAAGCAAGAGCTGAATATAATATCACCCTCACCGTCACAGATATGGGGACTCCAAGGCTGAAAACGGAGCACAACATAACAGTGCAGATATCAGATGTCAATGATAACGCCCCCACTTTCACCCAAACCTCCTACACCCTGTTCGTCCGCGAGAACAACAGCCCCGCCCTGCACATCGGCAGCGTCAGCGCCACAGACAGAGACTCGGGCACCAACGCCCAGGTCACCTACTCGCTGCTGCCGCCCCAAGACCCGCACCTGCCCCTCGCCTCCCTGGTCTCCATCAACGCGGACAACGGCCACCTGTTCGCCCTCAGGTCGCTGGACTACGAGGCCCTGCAGGCTTTCGAGTTCCGCGTGGGCGCCACAGACCGCGGCTCCCCCGCGCTGAGCAGAGAGGCGCTGGTGCGCGTGCTGGTGCTGGACGCCAACGACAACTCGCCCTTCGTGCTGTACCCGCTGCAGAACGGCTCCGCGCCCTGCACTGAGCTGGTGCCCCGGGCGGCCGAGCCGGGCTACCTGGTGACCAAGGTGGTGGCGGTGGACGGCGACTCGGGCCAGAATGCCTGGCTGTCGTACCAGCTGCTCAAGGCCACGGAGCCCGGGCTGTTCGGTGTGTGGGCGCACAATGGCGAGGTGCGCACCGCCAGGCTGCTGAGCGAGCGCGACGCAGCCAAGCAGAGGCTGGTGGTGCTGGTCAAGGACAATGGCGAGCCTCCGCGCTCGGCCACCGCCACGCTGCACGTGCTCCTGGTGGACGGCTTCTCCCAGCCCTTCCTGCCGCTCCCAGAGGCGGCCCCCGGCCAGACCCAGGCCAACTCGCTCACTGTCTACCTGGTGGTGGCGTTGGCCTCGGTGTCGTCGCTCTTCCTCTTTTCGGTGCTCCTGTTCGTGGCGGTGCGGCTGTGCAGGAGGAGCAGGGCGGCCTCGGTGGGCCGCTGCTCGATGCCTGAGGGCCCCTTTCCAGGGCGTCTGGTGGACGTAAGCGGCACCGGGACCCTGTCCCAGAGCTACCAATACGAGGTGTGTCTGACAGGAGGCTCAGAAACAAGTGAGTTCAAGTTCCTGAAGCCGATTATCCCCAACTTCTCTCCTTAGGGCACTAGGAAAGAAATAGATTAAAATTCCACCCTTCACAATAGCTTTGGATTTAATTATTGATAGGAACCCATTTGATAAATTCCTTAACTTCTTATGATTGTCTTGTTGATTAAATTGTTCATGCTCACCACCACCAATAAGGTATTTTTCTCTGATTGTTAGTTCAAATTATATTGTTAATTCCAGTTTCCCTTTTCCTCATATTTACCCCGAAGAGGTGTTGCATATAGAATCCCAATTAACAAAATATACTTTATCTTCAAAGTTGATGTCATTTAAAATTTTTCCGTCTTTATATTTTATTTACTTCCTATTCATTTTTTGCTCCATTTTTCATGTTACTTCTCAGTTTCCTAGAACTTCAAGTATTAAAATAACCTGTTGCATGTATTAGGCATATTTCCTATGTTACATTTCTTTTGTCTATTTTCCTTTCAAAATTGGTATTTTTGTTGGGCTCAATTTTCATTATAATACTTTTCTTAAAGTTTCTTTCTTTCTTTTCTTTTCTTTCTTTTTTTTTTTTTCCTTTTTGAGACAGGGTCTTACTCTTGTCACCCAGGCTGGAGTGCAGTGGTACAATCTTGGCTCACTGCAACCTCTGCCTCCTGGGCCCAACGGATCCTTCCACCTCAGCCTCCCAAGTAGCTTGGACTATAGGTGCATGCCACCATGCCTGGCTAATCTTTTGCAGCGATGGGATTTTGCCAAGTTGCCCAGGCTGATCTTGAACTCCTGGGCTCAAGCCATCCTCCCTCCTCAGCCTCCCAAAATTCTGGGATTACAGGCATAAGCCAATGTGCCCATCCAAAGTTTTATTTATTTATTTTTTTGAGATGGAGTCTCGTAAAGTTACCTTTAAAAAAAAAGTTCTATTTTCCCTGTATTGGTATCTCCTTAAATAAAATAAAATATTCCTATTGTAAGTGATATGAGAAATCTTTAACCAGCCTTATCTAAAAATAAAAAGAGAAGCCATTGTAAGACATTCAGTATGTGTAAATGTGTTTGTGTTTGTAGACAAAAGGCAAAGGTATTATGTAAAAATATTTAATAATTTATTCTTTCTATTACTGAATTAAAAAATCAGAGGTCCCTGTTATATTTTTAATGGCTAACAACTCAATCTCATTAAGTTGGAAAAAAAACTTATCAAAGAGACATTTACATGGTTTGGCTTTTATATTCATCATAGTATACATTGGCGGTATCTAGCCCTTTCTCTGTAAAATATCCCTATGTTTAATCTGTATTTCTTGCTTATTATATGTAAAGTTGAGCTTCTTTCTAGATATTAGGCCTTTGAATAAAATTCTATGTGAGTCAGATTTAATAATTTGTTTTCACTTTCAATAGTGTTAGGATAGGTGTTAGTTTGATCTGTTCTTTACCTCCGCTTATTTGGTTCAGAGAAATTAGGGCCTACTAGATTTCCACTAAAAGGGACTTGAAAATAAAGGTCAGTCCCTTCTTTAATTCTGCAAGTTACTTTAAAGCTAATCTAAGAAAAAAAAAAAACAAATTGCAAAGTATGAGTAAATTAAAGAAAACAATTTTCAAATGGCAGAGATCGAAAGGCACTGAATTTTGTTTCATGTCCTACTCACTAGTTTATTTATGCATGCCTTAATATAGCCAGCATTTAGTGAGTGGCTAATTTGCCAACCAAAGATGACTAAGACATAGTTGTTCTCAAGTAGTTCACACATTGATGAAGGGGCAAACTGGCCTGAAACAAGAAGCAATAATATTTATAGAGTAAACATAGTTGTATGCGTAAGTTTTAGAGAAGCACAATGGAAAGACAGCCTAATGCTTGGTTCTGGACTACAGAGCGGTGATTCTAGTTAGGCAATCTGAGATCTTGAAGACATTTGTTGAAGAAGATGTGAAACAAGTTTTTTTTATTGTTGTTAATTTTTGGTGTTCCTATGCCCAAAGCTTTTGAGACAGTGAAATTGATTATTTTGGTGGTTCCAGAAGGCACCCACAATTTTCCCTTTGTTTGCGTAAGAGTTGTGTCAGAGGCGAAAGGCCTAACACAGCTAAATCTAACACAGAGTTGAACAGGGTTACTGCTAGAAACATTTTTTCAACTGTTCAATTTTTATCTTTTCTCATGAAGCAATGAAGAATTTTTAAATAAACACAAAAATTGGGCACAGCCATTTGACTGTGTTGGAAGCCACAAGGTGGCGCTGCAGACTGAAGAGACGGAGGAACAAAATTGACCAGAATGCTACGGAAGTCCTTGACAAAAAGGAAACACTGAGACAGATGGGCTGAGAAGAAGAGCTGTCGAGTCCCTGATTGGGAAAGGAAAAATTAAAAACCCTAGATCTCTGGTACACATAAGTCTGGGTTTGCGATTGCTATTTGTGCTGGGGCAGTGTGATTGAGACTGACATTGAGGAAAGAAGCAGCTATGAAGACCAGGGGGTTCAGCTTTCCAAGACAAAGGCAAGTCCTGTTTCTTTTTCTTTTCTGGGGAGTGTCCTTGGCAGGTTCTGGGTTTGGACGTTATTCGGTGACTGAGGAAACAGAGAAAGGATCCTTTGTGGTCAATCTGGCAAAGGATC
This sequence comes from Homo sapiens, assembly GCF_000001405.40. NCBI lineage: Eukaryota > Metazoa > Chordata > Mammalia > Primates > Hominidae > Homo > Homo sapiens. Next base: position 422,649 of record NW_025791778.1, read on the forward strand.
TGGGACTAGCAGAGGGGGAGCTGGCTGCAAGGGGAACCAGGGTGGTTTCCGATGATAACAAACAATACCTGCTCCTGGATTCACATACCGGGAATTTGCTCACAAATGAGAAACTGGACCGAGAGAAGCTGTGTGGCCCTAAAGAGCCCTGTATGCTGTATTTCCAAATTTTAATGGATGATCCCTTTCAGATTTACCGGGCTGAGCTGAGAGTCAGGGATATAAATGATCACTCGCCAGTGTTTCGGCACAAAGAGATGGTCTTAAAAATATCAGAAAATACAGCTGAAGGGACAGCATTTAGACTAGAAAGAGCACAGGATCCAGATGAAGGTCATAACAGTATCCAAAACTACACGATCAGCTCCAACTCTTTTTTCCATATTAAAATTAGTGGCAGTGATGAAGGCATGATATATCCAGAGCTAGTGTTGGACAAAGCACTGGATCGGGAGGAGCAGGAAGAGCTCAGCTTAACCCTCACAGCGCTGGATGGTGGGTCTCCATCCAGGTCTGGGACCTCCACTATACGCATTGTGGTCTTGGATGTCAATGACAATGTCCCACAGTTTGCCCAGGCTCTGTATGAGACCCAGGCTCCAGAAAACAGTCCAGTAGGGTCCCTTATTGTTAAAGTGTCTGCAGGAGATGCAGACTCAGGAGTCAATGCAGAAGTATCCTATTCATTTTTTGATGCTTCTGAAGATATTTTAACAACGTTTCAAATCAATCCTTTTTCTGGGGAAATCTTTCTCAGAGAATTGCTTGATTATGAGTTAGTAAATTCTTACAAAATAAATATACAGGCAATGGACGGCGGAGGCCTTTCTGCAAGATGTACAGTTTTGATAAAAGTATTAGATTCCAATGACAATCCTCCTGAACTGATCATATCATCACTTTCCAACTCTGTTGCTGAAAACTCTCCTGGGATAGTATTGGCTGTTTTTAAGATTAAAGACAGAGACTCCGGAGAAAATGGAAAGACAATTTGCTATGTTCAAGATAATCTGCCTTTTTTTCTGAAACCGTCTGTTGACAATTTTTACATCCTAATGACTGAAGGTGCACTGGACAGAGAGAGCAAAGCTGAGTACAACATCACCATCACCGTCACTGACTTGGGGACACCCAGGCTGAAAACCGAGCACAGCATAACCCTGCAGGTCTCCGACGTCAATGACAACGCCCCCGCCTTCACCCAAACCTCCTACACCCTGTTCGTCCGGGAGAACAACAGCCCCGCCCTGCACATCGGCAGTGTCAGCGCCACAGACAGAGACTCAGGCACCAACGCCCAGGTCACCTACTCGCTGCTGCCGCCCCAGGACCCACACCTGCCCCTCGCCTCCCTGGTCTCCATCAACGCGGACAATGGCCACCTGTTTGCCCTCAGGTCGCTGGACTACGAGGCCCTGCAGGCTTTCGACTTCCGCGTGGGCGCCTCAGACCGCGGCTCCCCGGCTTTGAGCAGCGAGGCGCTGGTGCGCGTACTGGTGCTGGACGCCAACGACAACTCGCCCTTCGTGCTGTACCCGCTGCAGAACGGCTCCGCGCCCTGCACCGAGCTGGTGCCCCGGGCGGCCGAGCCGGGCTACCTGGTGACCAAGGTGGTGGCGGTGGACGGCGACTCGGGCCAGAACGCCTGGCTGTCGTACCAGCTGCTCAAGGCCACGGAGCCCGGGCTGTTCGGTGTGTGGGCGCACAATGGGGAGGTGCGCACCGCCAGGCTGCTGAGCGAGCGCGACGCGGCCAAGCACAGGCTGGTGGTGCTTGTCAAGGACAATGGCGAGCCTCCTCGCTCGGCCACCGCCACGCTGCACGTGCTCCTGGTGGACGGCTTCTCCCAGCCCTACCTGCCTCTCCCGGAGGCGGCCCCGGCCCAGGCCCAGGCCGACTTGCTCACCGTCTACCTGGTGGTGGCGTTGGCCTCGGTGTCTTCGCTCTTCCTCCTCTCGGTGCTCCTGTTCGTGGCGGTGCGGCTGTGCAGGAGGAGCAGGGCGGCCTCGGTGGGTCGCTGCTCGGTGCCCGAGGGTCCTTTTCCAGGGCATCTGGTGGACGTGAGCGGCACCGGGACCCTGTTCCAGAGCTACCAGTACGAGGTGTGTCTGACTGGAGGTTCAGAGACCGGCGAGTTCAAGTTCTTGAAGCCGATTACCCCCCACCTCCCGCCCCATAGGGGTGGGAAAGAAATAGAGGAAAATTCTACTCTCCCCAATAGCTTTGGATTTAATTATTGAAAGGAACCCACTTAATAAAGACATTTACTTCTTTAATATATTCTTGTTGGCTAACTAAATTGTGTATGCCCACCACAAAGAAGGTACTATTTTTTGTTTGATTCATCTTCAACTTTGCGTATTATGCTTAACTTCACAAGTTAACTTTTTCTTATTTTGTATCCTGATGAGGCATTTCTTACTAGAATCCCATAAGTGAAATATAATATTTTTCAAAGTTGATATCATTTAAAAATTTTTGGTCGTTTTAAATGTCTTTATTGACTTTAAATTCATTGCCTCTACATTATTCATTAGTTCTTCTTTTCCTAAAACTTTTTACTTGTTAAAATAGTCTGCTGCATGTAATATGTGCTTTTACTATTTGATATTTCTTCTATTTTTCTTTTGAAACCGGTGTTCTTATTGGTTTGCCATCCTTGTTCATTACAACTGTTTTTTGTTTGTTTGTTTGTTTTTTGGTTTGTTTGTTTTTTTTTTTTTTGAGACGGAGTCTCGCTCTGTCGCCCAGGCTGGAGTGCAGTGGCGCGATCTCAGCTCACTGCAACCTCCGCCTCCCAGGTTCAAGCGATTCTCCTGCCTCAGCCTCCAGAGTATCTGGGACTACAGTTGCATGTCACCACGTTCGGCTAATTTTTGTATTTTCAGTAGAGACGGGTTTCATCATGGTGGCCAGGATGGTCTATCTCTTGACCTCGTGATCCACCCCACTCAGCCTCCCAAATTGCTGGGATTTACAGGCATGAGCCACCGCACCCAGCCTACAATAATTTTCTTAAACTTTACCTTTTATTTTAAAGTTCTAGTTTCCCGGCATTGATAGTTCCCTATTTGAAATATAATGTTTCTCTTGTAAGTGATATGATAAATAAACCCCTAATTAGCCTTAGAAGAAAAACCACTGCAAGATATTAAGCGTGTGTAAATGGGCTTTAGTCTGGAAACCAAAAAAAAAAAAAAAATTTAGTCATTCTATAGGATCATGTGAAAATATTTAATTTGCTCCTTTTAATTCTGTATAAACAAATCAGAGGTTCCTGAGGTTCCTGTTAAATTTTTAATGGCTAATAGCCCAGTGCCATCCAGTTGAAAAAACAACAGCAATCACAAAGTAGAGGTTTATATTGTGCGGCTTTTATATTCAGCTATTAGAGTGTTATTGGTAGTGTCTAGCCTTTTCCTCCACGACATTCCTTGACTTAATCCATTTGGGCCTATTATAGACAAAATAGAGCTTCTTTCTAGATATAAGGTCTTTGAGGCAGGGCTCAGTGGCTCATTCCTGTAATCCCAGCACTTTGGGAGGCCAAGGCGGGCAGATCACCTTAGGTCACGAGTTTGAGACCAGCCTGACCAACGTTAAGTAACCCCGTCTTTACTAAAAATACAAAATTAGCCAGGCATGGTGGCACATGCTTGTAATCCCAGCTACTCGGGAGGCTGAGGCAGGAGAATCGCTTGAACCCAGGAGGTGGAAGTTGCTTTGAGCCGAGATTGCACCATTGTACTCCAGCCTGGGCAATAAGAGCAAAACTCCATCAAAATAAAATAAAATAAAATATAAAATAACTTAAAAAGAACTTTGAATAAAATTCTATGAAAAAAGACACTAGAATGCTGTTCTTAATTTTAATAGTGTTAAGATAGGTGTTAGTGTGGTCTGTTCTTTACCTCCCTTTATTTGGTGCAGAGAAGTTAGATCCTGCTAAATTTCAATTAAGAGGGGACCTTAAAATAAGGATCAATCTCTTATTTAACCCTGTAAGTTACTTTAAAGCTAATACAAGAAAAACAAAGACAAGTGAAAGTAAGGAAACAGAAATTGCAAAGAGTAAATGAAAGAAAAAAACTTTCAAGTGGTCGGAATTGAAAGGCACTGGAAAACGTTTCAGGTTCTACCCATCTGAGTTTATTTATGCATGTCCTAATACAGGCAGTATTTATTGCTTGTCTGATTTGTCACTCACAGATGATTAGGACATAGTTCCTATCCTTAAGTAGCCCACACATTGAAGAAGAAATAGATTTGCATGAATTAAGAAGCAATAATATTTGCAGGGCAATCATAGTTGTATACACAAGTTTTTATGAGAGAATAGAGGAGGGACAGCTTAAATGCATTATACAAGATTACAGAGTGATGATTCTCCTTAATCAGTGTGATGAGATTTTGAAGTTTGTTGAGGAAGGTGTGAAACATATTTTCTTTGTCTGTTTTGGTGTTCTTATCCCGATGTTTCTGGAAAAGTAAAATCTCCTGTTACTTTGGTGATCCCAGATGTCAGCAACATTTTCCCTTTGATTCTTGACATTGTGTGAGAGTTGTGTCTGAGATGAAAGGACTAGTAGAGAGCTAAATTTAGCACAGTGAGGTGGACAGAGTTATTGCTAGAAACATATTTTCAAGTGTTGAATTTTTAACTTTTCCCAAAAAGAATTGAAGAATCTCAACAATGTGACTATTTCTCTGTCTCAACATTAATTTTTACAAGACAAACGAAAATAAACATGAAAAATTTAAATGAGGCACTAAAGGAAATTGTCTGAATACACACACCCAAATGGGTACAACTACTGAAATCTGGTGGAGGCCACACGGTGGCGCTGCAGGCTAAAGAGACGGTTTGGGAATTGCTCTGAGGATGCTATGCAAGTCACTAATAAAGGAAGACACGGACAGATGAACTTAAAAGAGAAGCTTTAGCTGCCAAAGATTGGGAAAGGGAAAGGACAAAAAAGACCCCTGGGCTACACGGCGTAGGTGCAGGGTTTCCTACTGCTGTTCTTTTATGCTGGGAGCTGTGGCTGTAACCAACTAGGAAATAACGTATGCAGCAGCTATGGCTGTCAGAGAGTTGTGCTTCCCAAGACAAAGGCAAGTCCTGTTTCTTTTTCTTTTTTGGGGAGTGTCCTTGGCAGGTTCTGGGTTTGGACGTTATTCGGTGACTGAGGAAACAGAGAAAGGATCCTTTGTGGTCAATCTGGCAAAGGATCTGGGACTAGCAGAGGGGGAGCTGGCTGCAAGGGGAACCAGGGTGGTTTCCGATGATAACAAACAATACCTGCTCCTGGATTCACATACCGGGAATTTGCTCACAAATGAGAAACTGGACCGAGAGAAGCTGTGTGGCCCTAAAGAGCCCTGTATGCTGTATTTCCAAATTTTAATGGATGATCCCTTTCAGATTTACCGGGCTGAGCTGAGAGTCAGGGATATAAATGATCACGCGCCAGTATTTCAGGACAAAGAAACAGTCTTAAAAATATCAGAAAATACAGCTGAAGGGACAGCATTTAGACTAGAAAGAGCACAGGATCCAGATGGAGGACTTAACGGTATCCAAAACTACACGATCAGCCCCAACTCTTTTTTCCATATTAACATTAGTGGCGGTGATGAAGGCATGATATATCCAGAGCTAGTGTTGGACAAAGCACTGGATCGGGAGGAGCAGGGAGAGCTCAGCTTAACCCTCACAGCGCTGGATGGTGGGTCTCCATCCAGGTCTGGGACCTCTACTGTACGCATCGTTGTCTTGGACGTCAATGACAATGCCCCACAGTTTGCCCAGGCTCTGTATGAGACCCAGGCTCCAGAAAACAGCCCCATTGGGTTCCTTATTGTTAAGGTATGGGCAGAAGATGTAGACTCTGGAGTCAACGCGGAAGTATCCTATTCATTTTTTGATGCCTCAGAAAATATTCGAACAACCTTTCAAATCAATCCTTTTTCTGGGGAAATCTTTCTCAGAGAATTGCTTGATTATGAGTTAGTAAATTCTTACAAAATAAATATACAGGCAATGGACGGTGGAGGCCTTTCTGCAAGATGTAGGGTTTTAGTGGAAGTATTGGACACCAATGACAATCCCCCTGAACTGATCGTATCATCATTTTCCAACTCTGTTGCTGAGAATTCTCCTGAGACGCCGCTGGCTGTTTTTAAGATTAATGACAGAGACTCTGGAGAAAATGGAAAGATGGTTTGCTACATTCAAGAGAATCTGCCATTCCTACTAAAACCTTCTGTGGAGAATTTTTACATCCTAATTACAGAAGGCGCGCTGGACAGAGAGATCAGAGCCGAGTACAACATCACTATCACCGTCACTGACTTGGGGACACCCAGGCTGAAAACCGAGCACAACATAACGGTCCTGGTCTCCGACGTCAATGACAACGCCCCCGCCTTCACCCAAACCTCCTACACCCTGTTCGTCCGCGAGAACAACAGCCCCGCCCTGCACATCGGCAGCGTCAGCGCCACAGACAGAGACTCGGGCACCAACGCCCAGGTCACCTACTCGCTGCTGCCGCCCCAAGACCCGCACCTGCCCCTCGCCTCCCTGGTCTCCATCAACGCGGACAACGGCCACCTGTTCGCCCTCAGGTCGCTGGACTACGAGGCCCTGCAGGCTTTCGAGTTCCGCGTGGGCGCCACAGACCGCGGCTCCCCCGCGCTGAGCAGAGAGGCGCTGGTGCGCGTGCTGGTGCTGGACGCCAACGACAACTCGCCCTTCGTGCTGTACCCGCTGCAGAACGGCTCCGCGCCCTGCACCGAGCTGGTGCCCCGGGCGGCCGAGCCGGGCTACCTGGTGACCAAGGTGGTGGCGGTGGACGGCGACTCGGGCCAGAACGCCTGGCTGTCGTACCAGCTGCTCAAGGCCACGGAGCCCGGGCTGTTCGGTGTGTGGGCGCACAATGGGGAGGTGCGCACCGCCAGGCTGCTGAGCGAGCGCGACGCAGCCAAGCACAGGCTCGTGGTGCTTGTCAAGGACAATGGCGAGCCTCCTCGCTCGGCCACCGCCACGCTGCACTTGCTCCTGGTGGACGGCTTCTCCCAGCCCTACCTGCCTCTCCCGGAGGCGGCCCCGGCCCAGGCCCAGGCCGAGGCCGACTTGCTCACCGTCTACCTGGTGGTGGCGTTGGCCTCGGTGTCTTCGCTCTTCCTCCTCTCGGTGCTCCTGTTCGTGGCGGTGCGGCTGTGCAGGAGGAGCAGGGCGGCCTCGGTGGGTCGCTGCTCGGTGCCCGAGGGTCCTTTTCCAGGGCATCTGGTGGACGTGAGGGGCGCTGAGACCCTGTCCCAGAGCTACCAGTATGAGGTGTGTCTGACGGGAGGCCCCGGGACCAGTGAGTTCAAGTTCTTGAAACCAGTTATTTCGGATATTCAGGCACAGGGCCCTGGGAGGAAGGGTGAAGAAAATTCCACCTTCCGAAATAGCTTTGGATTTAATATTCAGTAAAGTCTGTTTTTAGTTTCATATACTTTTGGTGTGTTACATAGCCATGTTTCTATTAGTTTACTTTTAAATCTCAAATTTAAGTTATTATGCAACTTCAAGCATTATTTTCAAGTAGTATACCCCTGTGGTTTTACAATGTTTCATCATTTTTTTGCATTAATAACAACTGGGTTTAATTTAATGAGTATTTTTTTCTAAATGATAGTGTTAAGGTTTTAATTCTTTCCAACTGCCCAAGGAATTAATTACTATTATATCTCATTACAGAAATCTGAGGTTTTGATTCATTTCAGAGCTTGCATCTCATGATTCTAATCACTTCTGTCTATAGTGTACTTGCTCTATTTAAGAAGGCATATCTACATTTCCAAACTCATTCTAACATTCTATATATTCGTGTTTGAAAACCATGTCATTTATTTCTACATCATGTATTTAAAAAGAAATATTTCTCTACTACTATGCTCATGACAAAATGAAACAAAGCATATTGTGAGCAATACTGAACATCAATAATACCCTTAGTTTATATACTTATTATTTTATCTTTAAGCATGCTACTTTTACTTGGCCAATATTTTCTTATGTTAACTTTTGCTGATGTATAAAACAGACTATGCCTTATAATTGAAATAAAATTATAATCTGCCTGAAAATGAATAAAAATAAAACATTTTGAAATGTGTGGTTGAGATTGCTGGAGATATTCATTTATATGTTGCAAATTTATTTTAAATACCAAATTTTTAATAAGCAAGAGGAACTAAAGGTTAGAATGAAAAACAAGTTTCATCAGTTTTTTTATATTACTATATATAAAATATATACTATATATAACTAACATTTTATAGTTTTTTAAGTTAGCTGTTCTGCCAGTCCCTTACCACAGTGTGGTTTCTTCTTGAATTGATCTCAATATTTATAAATAATATGTTTATAATACTATATCTTGATATTGTTTTGTATTTGAACCATTTCTTTCTATAATAGAAAAGCATTTTAGCTTTATTTCCAAACTAACAAACATATGCAAACATTGCAAATTCTTTTTCTCCTATTCTCCAATATAGATGTCACAGTTTCTTAGTTAAATTAGTGGTTATTATCTATATTGTTACATGCTTCAGAATATGCATTTGTATACTGTACTAGAATTACATTTCCATACTTGAAAAGTATGGTTCCTAGAGTTCGTAATTGTTATTTCATACTTGCATTATTTTCTATGTACCTCTATTGTTTTTTTCCATATCTTTCATTTGAATGTATTTTCTCCTTAAAAATATTCCAATTTTTAAGATACTCTGTCAATGACATTTATTTTCAGGAGCTCTTTCATCGTGAGTTTCCTGTTTCATTTAGACTGGTTAATCTATAGACTGTTACCCTGGGACTTTTTCCCTTCAATACTTTCCTGTATGAGTCTACTTTTCCAAGGTCCAGTATACTCTTTTTTCTAGTTTACTCTCTTATTCAGCTGGCACGCATCTCTCAAGACCTTCATATAAACGAATGCAGAAGAGATTTTTAAAAAATTGTCTCCTTACATTGTGAAGACATCTTTTTTGTTTGTTTTCATTTGCTTGATAGTTTGACTGGGTATAAAATTCTAGTTTGAAAATAATTTTCCCTCAAATTTTGAAAGCTGAAGCTGTCTCTTTTACTCATTGCATGTCGAGTTTCTTCAGAAGACTGACTTGATTTTGATTCCATCTCTCTTTGTGTCCTTCTCTCTTACCTCCTTTCCTGGAAGCATTGAAAAACTTTTTCCTGGTAATCTGAAAAGACCTTAATACAGGCATTTTATTTATTAATCTGGCCATGCAGGCATACCCTGTTAACATATAGACTCTTACTGTAAGTTCTGAGAAATTTTCTTGTTATGTTTTAGTAATAATTTATCCATTGAGTTTTCTACAGTCTCACTTTAACCAGAATCTCATTAAATATTGCACCTCCTGTGTTGATTTTCTGAGACTCTAAATTATAATTTTTTTCTTCTTTTCCATCTCTTGTTCTACTTATTAGACAATTTATTTAATCATCCAATCTCCATATTTAAGTTTTTCTTTTTGGATAGCAAATATTTATTTTTAAGAGCTCTTGGTTTTTCATAACATCCTATTACAAATTTGCAAATGTAAATCTTCTTTCATCTATAATTAATCTATTTATTCTTTAAAAATGCATTATATAGTAAGAGTTATTATTATACCTATTTTAAACTTGCAAGTGAATCAAAGGGAAGTTAAGAATTTGCCTAAGGCTATATAGCTAGTAAGGGGCACTTAAGCCCTAAGCTATTCTTTGTCTTCCAGGTATAAATACGTACTTGATAGGGTTACTGTTAACATCAACTAGGTAAATCCATATGAGGCACTAGAATAATGAACTTAGAATAAGTCAATAAGTGTTAGCTCTTATTACATTTTGTTTCTCTGGGGATACTAATCAGACATTTTAAAAGGCTTTCTTTTGTTTTCTGAATTATATCTATTCCCTCCTGTTGCTTTTTGTGCTTGGCGGTAGTATTACAGTTTTGGCTTTTCTATTTCATGTTGTAGGCATTTTCTCAAATGTCTTGTTATCTTTGACTGTCTTATTATATATATGAATGGTGACACAGCAAATGCTGACAGTCAACACTTCATGAGTATTGATGACAGGGCTTCACTCTAATGTAACCATGCTAGGATAGAGCTACTACCTTGGGAAACCCCCACATATCAGTACATGTAAGTCTTTATCTGCGCCTTTCATATTCCCCAGGATAGAATTCTACAATATTCAATGTTTTGGGTGCGATGGGGAAGATGTCAGGCATATATCTTGTGTCCTACAATCTGAGAGTATCATGGCTAGGAGTCTCACAATACAGAAGGCAGTGTTTTGCCTAATCTCCCTATCTTTAGTTTCATACCTCCTACTTTCACTCAGCTCTGCCTGGGGTTTCCAAGACTGGAGATAGTATAATTTCTCCAGAATATAATCTAATTTCTCCAGAGTATAAGCTTTCCATTCTCTGGCTCTCAGTTATTTTCTTGTCTCTGTATGATGGTGAAAAGACCAGAGAATTCAACTATCCTACATACATACTTTCAACTAATAACTTCTTTTTTAAGCCCTTACTTGACTTCAGCCTTCTTATACACCTGGTTCCTCCAAGTCTGGTACCTACTAGGATTGTGTAGGGAAAACCCAGTAGTTTATTTTTAGTATCTCCAATGAAGGAACTTTATTTTAGACATTTCTTGGAACTATTGTCAATTGCTCTTTCATCTGCTTTCTATCATCAAATAATTTGTGTATTTACTTATGTATTCTTAGTCTTTGTGAATTCATACCTTTTATTACTTTTCTGTCATTTTAGAGAGGGGTTAAGAAGAAGGAAGGATAATTGTATAGTCAATCCACATACTATTCAATTTCTACTCTTCTGCACTGATAATTTTTCAACCATGTATCTAGTTCACATTTTTGTGAATGTAATTTGAAATTAGAATTTTTAAAAGCAGACTTCTTAGATGTCCTCCATTATTGAGAGTACTTTGAGATGTCTAACAGTGGATACCATTGGTAGTTTCCAAGCACCTATTCCAACTATCTCCCTCATTATGCCATGCACTTTGGCTAGGACTGAAACCACCTCAAGTTTAAGGGGCAATCTCTGCCTGGATTAAAACAAAGGGTCAAAGATGGAGTCTTTAGATTCTGGGACTATAATCTCTACCTTTAATCCTATACATCTTGAGACACTGATTTCTTCAGTAACAGGCTGAAGTGCTCTCAGTTGGTCTAATCAGAATGAAGGCTAAGATTTTGTTCTATTATTGAGGAAGAAAATATCTCTCATTCTGTCTTCTTGAGCTGAAAAACAAAGCAGATAGCCATAGATGTTGCTGGAATAAATCTTGGGAAACTGAGGGAGGGCAGTCTTAGAAATAAGCCTGCTTTAAATGAAACTAACATGCTTGTGCTTGTGTATTTATTATTTTTTGAGAAGCTGGAACTAAATCAAGGATTCTCATAATGTGTTCTACTCCCAATATCTTACTTTACTTTCTAGCAGTTCACAATTCCTTGCTACCAAGGAAATCTATATAAATGCCTTCTTGTGCTATCATAACTATCAAAGTATGTCCCATCTCATGGTTAATCCAGTTTCATATCCTCTGAGAGGACTTCTAAAATGACCCATGTATAGTTTGCCTTTTCATTACCACCTAAGGAAAGTCAAGTAGTGATAGAATTTTGTACAGCTTAAAAATATTATGGTTGTTTTATGTTTCCAGTCTTCTCAGAAAGATTACAAACCACTGGGAGCCAGGAATCACATCTTGTATTTCTGTATTCACCACAACTAAGCACGTTTGGTTGTATGGAGAAGGGGGAAAGATAAATGCTTTAAGATGAATATTAACAGCATATCAAACTAAAGAGAATATGAAATAATTATTACAGAACGTGCAATATATTTGTAATCACTTGAACACAATGAATAAAACAATATTTGTTTCCGGAGGACATATAAGTGAATGGAATTTAGGTAGCTTTCACCAAACTGTGAAAATCTATGGAGACACTTGGTGGCGCTGCAGGATAACATCGTGAAAAATATATTCACTGGATGGCGTTGTGAACACTGATATCCAGTGCACACAGAGAATCAGAAGACAGAAACAACAAGCCTTCAAGAGGGTGACCTGGAAACCATTCAACAGGGTTAAAATCCTTAGACCACAGAGGATTTGGTGGACAAGTCAGAGACGCGTTCCGCAGAGCTGAAGCCTTTCTTCAAGAAGCCTACAAGAAAGGAACTATGGAGAACCAAGGGACACGCACTCAGCAGATAAGGCAAGTCCTGCTTCTCTTTGTTTTGCTCGGAATGTCTCAGGCGGGCTCTGAAACCTGGAGCTTTTCTGTGGCAGAAGAAATGCAGAGCGGGAGTTTTGTAGGCAATCTGGCAAAGGACCTGGGGCTGAAGGTGAGAGAACTGTCCTCACGGGGGGCTCGGGTGGTCTCTAATGATAAGAAACAGCGTTTGCAGCTGGACATAAACACTGGGGATTTGCTCTTAAGTGAAACACTAGACAGGGAGGAGCTCTGCGGTTCCATCGAGCCTTGCGTGCTACATTTGCAGGTGTTAATGCAAAACCCCACGCAGTTTTTACAAATTGAGCTTCAGGTCAGGGATATAAATGATCACTCTCCCATCTTCTCGGAAAAACAAATGCTCCTAGAAATCCCAGAGAACAGTCCCGTTGGTGCTGTGTTCTTACTAGAAAGTGCGAAGGATTTAGATGTAGGAATCAATGCTGTAAAAAGCTACACAATAAGCCCCAACTCTCATTTTCACATTAAAATGAGAGTCATTCCAGACAATAGGAAATACCCCGAGTTAGTTCTGGACAAGGCGCTGGATTATGAAGAGCTCCCGGAGCTCAGTTTCATCCTCTCTGCTCTGGATGGTGGGTCCCCTCCCAGGTCTGGAACTGCCTTGGTCAGGGTGGTGGTTGTGGACATTAATGACAACTCCCCTGAATTTGAGCAGGCTTTTTATGAGGTGAAGATTCGGGAGAATAGCATCCTTGGCTCGCTGATTTTGATTGTCTCAGCTTGGGATTTAGACTCTGGAACAAATGGTGAAATATGCTATACCTTTTCCCATGCCTCAGAAGATATTCGCAAGACATTTGAAATTAATCAAAAGTCTGGAGAAATTACTTTAAGAGCACCTCTGGATTTTGAAACGATTGAGTCATACTCAATAATCATTCAAGCCACAGATGGGGGAGGACTTTTTGGAAAATCTACAGTCATAATTCACGTGATAGATGTAAATGACAATGCTCCTGAAATCACTGTGTCATCAATTACCAGTCCAATCCCAGAAAATACGCCAGAGACCGTGGTTATGGTTTTTAGTATCCAAGATATAGACTCTGGGGACAACGGAAGAATTGTTTGTTCCATTCCGGAAGACCTCCCATTCGTGCTAAAATCTTCAGTTGAGAATTACTACACGTTGGAAACAGAGAGACCACTGGACAGAGAGAGCACAGCCGAGTACAATATCACCATCACCGTCACCGACTTGGGGATACCCAGGCTGAAAACCGAGCACAACACAACTGTGTTGGTCTCTGACGTCAATGACAACGCCCCCACCTTCACCCAAACCTCCTACACCCTGTTCGTCCGCGAGAACAACAGCCCCGCCCTGCACATCGGCAGTGTCAGCGCTACAGACAGAGACTCAGGCACCAACGCCCAGGTCAACTACTCGCTACTCCCGCCCCAGGACCTGCACCTGCCCCTCGCCTCCCTGGTCTCCATCAACACAGACAACGGCCACCTGTTCGCCCTCAGGTCGCTGGACTACGAGGCCCTGCAGGCTTTCGACTTCCGCGTGGGCGCCACAGACCGCGGCTCCCCGGCTTTGAGCAGCGAGGCGCTGGTGCGCGTGCTGGTGCTGGACGCCAACGACAACTCGCCCTTCGTGCTGTACCCGCTGCAGAACGGCTCCGCGCCCTGCACCGAGCTGGTGCCCCGGGCGGCCGAGCCGGGCTACCTGGTGACCAAGGTGGTGGCGGTGGACGGCGACTCGGGCCAGAACGCCTGGCTGTCGTACCAGCTGCTCAAGGCCACGGAGCCCGGGCTATTCGGCGTGTGGGCGCACAATGGCGAGGTGCGCACCGCCAGGCTGCTGAGCGAGCGCGACGCGGCCAAGCACAGGCTGGTGGTGCTGGTCAAGGACAATGGCGAGCCTCCGCGCTCGGCCACCGCCACGCTGCAAGTGCTCCTGGTGGACGGCTTCTCCCAGCCCTACCTGCCGCTCCCTGAGGCGGCACCGGCCCAGGCCCAGGCCGACTCGCTCACCGTCTACTTGGTGGTGGCGTTGGCCTCGGTGTCTTCGCTCTTCCTCTTCTCGGTGCTCCTGTTCGTGGCGGTGCGGCTGTGCAGGAGGAGCAGGGCGGCCTCGGTGGGAAGCTGCTCGGTGCCTAAGGGCCCCTTTCCAGGGCATCTGGTGGACGTGAGCGGCACCGGGACCCTTTCCCAGAGCTACCAGTACGAGGTGTGTCTGACGGGAGGTTCCGAGACAAATGAATTCAAGTTCCTAAAACCGGTTATCCCTAATATCCAGGCAAAAGGTCTTGGGAAGAATAGTGAAGAAAACTCCACCTTTCGAAATAGCTTTGGATTTAATTTTTAGTAAGAATGCTATTTACATTTGCATGTACTTTTTTAGTTTTATGTAACCATATCAATATTATTTAGTCTTAAACTAGTTACGTTATTATGCAATACGACTAATTGTATTTTTAATTTTTTCTTTTCTCCCCCAATTTTTTTTTTTTTTTTGAGACCGAGTCTCATTCTGTCGCCCTGGCTGGAGTGCAATGGTGTGATCTCAGCTCACTGCACCCTCCGCCTCTCGGGTTCAAGCAATTCTCCTGCATCAGCCTCCCGAGTAGCTGGCATTACAGGCGCCCACCACCACGCTCGGCTAAATTTTTTTTTTTTTTATCTTTAGTAGAGACGGGGTTTCACCACGTTGGCCGGGCAGGTTTTAAACTCTTGACCTCATGTTCCACCCGCCACGGCCTCCCAAAGTGCTGTGATTACCGGTGTGAGCCACTGCGCCCGGCCTTTTTTTTTTCTTTTC
The DNA here is from genome assembly GCF_000001405.40 of Homo sapiens. Classification (NCBI taxonomy): domain Eukaryota; kingdom Metazoa; phylum Chordata; class Mammalia; order Primates; family Hominidae; genus Homo; species Homo sapiens. The sequence continues at coordinate 437,798 of NW_025791778.1, forward strand.
TTTTCTTTTTTTTGATACAGAGTCTTAGTCACCCAGACTAGAGGTCAGTGGCAGGATCTCAGCTCACTGCAACCTCTGCCTCCTGGGCTCAAGAGACCAGCCCACCTCCGCCTCCAAGTAGCTGGGACTACAGGCGTGCGCCACCATGCCCGGCTACTTCTTGTATTTTTTGTAGAGACGGATCGTCACCATATTTCTTAGGCTGGCCTTTAACTTCTGAGCTCAAGAGATGCACTCCCCTCAGCCTCCCAAAGTGCTGGGATTACAGGCGGCCAGGCCTATTTTCAATTTTCAAGTATTGCATATCATTGTGAATAACATTGTAAATCCTTTTTATATTAAGTAACAGGTAGTTAATCCATTTCTAATGAATAATTTTAAGGTTTTAATCCTTTCCAAGTGTACAATAATTTACTGATTATTATTTCTTATTCTAGAAAACTGACTTTGATTTTTCTCTTAGGTTGTTTTGTTTTGTTTTGTTTTTTGAGACGATGTTTCACTCTTGTCGCCCAGGCTGGTGTGCAATGGCGTGATCTCGGCTCACTGCAGTCTCTGCCTCCCGGGTTCTCCTGCCTCAGCCTCCCGAGTAGCTGGGATTACAGGTGCACCACCACACCCAGCTAATTTTGCATTTTTAGTAGAGACGGGGTTTCACCATGTTGGTCAGGCTGGTCTCTAACTCTTGATATCAGTGATCCGCCCGCCTCAGCCTCCCAAAAAGCTGGGATTACAGGCGTGAGCCACCGTGCCCAGGCTCCCCTAGTATTTTTCACTGTCTGCATCCTATGATCCTAACCACCTGTGTATTGTAGTTTCTTCATGGGAGAAGTCATATCTGCCCTTCCAACCTTATTCTAACATTCTATTTATTCATTTAAAAAGCCACATCATCTAGTTCTAAATCACAGCATTTAAAGAGAAACATTTCATTATTAATGTGCTCATGGTAAATTAAATATTATTTTGTGATCAATATTATACTTCAATACTAACTTTGTGCTTGTATTATTTTCTTAAATATACTACACTTACTTGGCTAATATTTTTAATGCTTTTGTGTGTGTATATATATATATAGAGAGAGAGAGAGATCATGGCTTATAATCCAAACAAAATGTAATAAACTGCATGAAAATAAATAGGAATATTAAAACATTTTGATAATTTTGGGATGAGGATATTGGTGGACTGTTGGAAAGATATTCACTTTTCCTTTTATTTTGTAAATTTATTTCATTATTTTCAAATGTAAAAATCAAGATGAACTAAAGGTTGAAAGAAAAACAAGGCCTGCCTCAGTGGCTTGGCTGGGTGGGTTAGATCACACCTGTAATCTCAGCACTTTGGAAGGCTGAGGCGGGCGGGTCACCTGAGGTTGGGAGTTCAAGACCAGCCTGGCCAACACAGTGAAACCCCATCTACACTAAAAAATACAAGAAGTAGCTGGGTGTGGTGGTGCGTGCCTATAATCCCAGCTACTCAGGAGGCTGAGACAGGAGAATCACTTGAACCCAGGAGGCAGAGGTTGCAGTGAGCCAAGATCTTGCCACTGCACTCCAGCCTGGGTGACAGAGCGATACTCCGTCTCAAAAAAAAAAAAAAAAAAAAAAAAAAGAAAGAAAGAAAAGAAAAGAACAGAACAATATTTTCTTTAATTTCCAGTCTCCTTCTATTGAGTGGCTTCTTCTAGAATTACCTCAATACTTCTAAATGATATGTTTTTGCTGTTAAATCTTGCTACTCCATTTTACATTTTAATCACTTCTTGCTATGTATTTTTTAAAAAAGATTTAACTTTCTTTTCAACTAATGTAAACCAATATAAGCACTGCACATTCCCTTTCTCCTATTCTCCCAATAAAATTGTTACAGTTTTTTTTTTCTTTTTGACAGAGTCTTACTCTGTCGCCCAGGTTGGAGTACAGTGGTGTGATCTCAGCTCACTGTAACCTCTGCTTCCCAGGTTCAAGTGATTCTCCTGCCTCAGCCTCCTGAATAGCTGGGATTACAGGCACCCACCACCACACCTGGCTAGTTTTGTAGCTTTAGTAGAGATGGGGTTTCACCATGTTGGCCAGGCTTGTCTTGAACTCCTGACCCCAGCTGATCCTCCTGCCTCAGCCTCCCAAAGTGTTGAGATTACAGGCGTGAGCCACAGTGCCCAGCCTACAGTTTTTTTTAAGTTAAACTAATAGTGTCCATATTGCTAAGCTTTCTTCAAAATACACATTAGTGTAGTGTGATTAAATTTCCTTTCTTGAGAAACATTTTTCCTAGAACTGAAAATTGTTTTGTACTTACATAATTTTCCATTTACTAATATTAGTTTCTTTACATTCTCTAATTTGAATCTCTTTCTTCTCAAAATATTCAAATATATCAGATACCTGTCAATTATGTTTATTTCTTGGTGATCTTGCACCCAGATCTCTACTTCATTCATACTGGTTGCTCTATAGGCTGTCACCCTAGGACTTTAAAAAATATTTTTCTTTGTTGGTCCTTTTTTATAAGATCCAGTACATTCTTCTTTCTTAGTTTACTCACTTATTTTGTTGATGCACATCTCTCAGTACCTTCATAAAAATGGATACAGAGGAAATAAAACTTTTTGAGAGCTTGCTTTGTTATTTTCTTTTTTTTTATTTGATTGATAGTTTGGGCATAACATTCTAGGTTGAAAATAATTTTCCCTCAGATTTCAAAAGCACTGCTCCTTTTATTGACTGCATATAGAATTGCTGTTCAGAAGACTGATTCCATTCTGATTCCTATGTCTTTTTATGTGATTCCCCCCCTTTTTTTCTTTCTTTCTGTGAGCATTGAAAAAAATTCCCCTGGTCTTCTGAAAATACCTTAGTACTGGCTCTTTATTGATTAATCTGGTTATATCGCTATGCCCTGTTCATGTTTAACTTTTCTTTTTTTTTTAAGATGATGTCTCACTGTGTTACCCAGGCTGGAGTGCAGTGGCTATTCACAGGCACAATCACAGCACCCTGCAAGCTCTAACTCGAGAGCTACTTCTGCCTCAGCCTTCCAAGTTGCTGGGACTACAGGCATGTGCTAGACCCCTTGGCTAATGTTCAGACTATCAATTTTATTTCTGAGAAATTTTGGTTGGGCATGGTGACTCACACCTGCAATCCCAGTACTTTGGGAAGCTGAGGCAGGATTATTTGAGGCCCCGAGTTTGAGACCACCCTGGGCAACATAGTGGGAACCTATCTCTACACAAAAACAATTTGTTAAAAGGAATTTCCTTGGTATGTTTTACTCATAATTTCTCCTCTGAGTTTTCTGGATTCTCACTTCAATGAAAATCTCAGTTAAATATTAGACCTCCTAGATTGACTCTATAAGACTATAAGCCATTTTTCCTTTCTTATTTTCTCTTTGCCTCTCATTCCATTTTTTGGACAATTTATTTAATCACTCAATGTTTTATGTATAAGTTTTTCTTTATGACTGAAAAATATTTACTTTTAAGAGTTGTTTTTGGTTCTCTGAATGTTTTTCATGGCATCCTGTCATAGATTTATAAATGTAATATTTTCTCTCATTTATAATTAATCTTTTCTTTAAAAATGCATTAGGCAGTATCATTATTATATATCCATTTTAAAAGTGAAAGTGAGTCTAAGGGGAGTTAAGAACTTGTCCAAGGTAATATAGCTAGTAAAAAGCACTGAAGTCCTAATCTAGTCTTCATCTTACAATAGGAATATGTACTTCATATAGTTACTATTTAGATTAAGTGGATAAATACATACTTCATACAGCTACTATTTAGATTAAATGGATAAATGCATTATGAGGCACTTAGAACAATGAGTAGCATAGAGTAAATACTAAATAAGTATTAGCTTTTATTAGATTTTCTTTCTCTGGGAATATTAACCAGACATTTTCAAAGGCTTTCTTCTGCTTTCTATATTATTGTTCCTTTTTTTTTTCTTGATGGTAGCGATGGTGGTAGTTTTGGTCTTTCTATGTTATGTTGCAGGCATTTCCTCAAATGCCTTGGCTATCTTCTCGTATTTTAGAAGGATGATATATCAAAATGCTGACAATCAACTCTGTGAGCGAACAGTACCTGTTGATGGCAGGGCTTCATTCTAATATAACCATGCTAGGATAAGTCTATTACCTTATGAGATGCCAAATATTAATATGTGTCTTCATTTGGGCTTTCATATTCTCCAGGTTAGAATTCTACAATATACACTATGGGGATAGACTAGGGGTCAGGCATACACTTTGTGTCCTACAGTCTAAGAGTATTGCATGAAAAGGGATTAGAAGTCTCACCATGCAAAATGCAAAGGTTTGCTTACTCTCCCTATTTTCAGTTTGACACCTCACACTTGTGCTCAGCTGTGCCTAGATCCCCAAGACTAGAGAAAGTCCCATTAAATTTCTCCAGAGAATAAACTTTCTATTTTCTGGCTGTGAGTTATGTTTCCATCTATGTAGGGTGATGAGAAGAACAGAGAATTCAATTATCCTCTACACATACTTCCAACTAATAACTTTTTTCCATCCTTAACTGACTTCAGTCTTCTTAAACATCTGGTTCCTCCAGATCTTGCGCTTAAAAGAGATTATGTTTCTTGTGAGTATCTTCAATGCAGGAACTTTACTTTAGGGGCACTTTTTGGAACTGCTAAGTTAATTGCTCTTCCACCTGCTTTCTGTCATAGAAAAATGTATGTGTTCACTTGTGTATTCTTAATCTTTGTTAGTTCCTACCATTTTAATTACTTTTCTGCCATTTTAGTGCATATTTTTTTTTAAAAAGAGAGGTTAATTGTGTGTGCTCAATTCATCTACTTTTCAAGTTTTACCCTTCTGTACCAATTACTATTTCAACCATGTATCCAGCTTACATTTTTAAGAATATTAATTGAATTTAACATTTTAAAATGCAGACTTGTTGGATTCTTCTCCCATCCATTCTTAGTGCACTTTAAGACTTTCTATAGTGAATATCACTGATGAGCCCTTAGCATCTGTTGCAAACAGTCTCCCTCATTTTGTACCAATGAGGTACTTTGGCTAGGACTGAAACCTTCCCAAGCTTAAGAGGTGGTCCCAGACAGGATTAAAACACAGTAATGGCCAGAGACAGGTCTTTAGATTCTAGGACTAAAATCTCCAACTATAATTCTATACCTCTTGAAACAATGATTGCTTCAGTGGCAGACACATGATCTTACTTGGTCTAATTAGAGTGAAAGTTAGGTTTTTGTTCTATGTTTAGGGATAGACTCTTACTTTCTCTTCCTGGGCTGAAAGAGAAAACAGATAGCTACAGTTGTGGCTACAATAAATTTTGGGAACCTAAGGCAAGTCAGCTTTAGGAATAAGAGTCTGCTTTAAATTAAACTAACTTGCTCATGCTTGTGTACTTATGAATTTTTTTGTAAATTATGAAAAACTGGAACTAAATGATGGGTTTACATAACATGTTCCACCCCAATCTCTTGCTTCATTTTCTGCCTGTTCACAATTCATTGCTATTAAGGAAATCTACAGAAGTGCCTTTTTATGCTGTTGTGTTGACCTATATATGCCTCATCTCATGGTTAATCCAGTTTCATAACTTCAGAAAGGATTTCTGAGATGACCTTTCCTTTACCTTATCACGTAAGGAAAGCCAAGTAGTAATAGAATTTCATTCAGCTTAACAATCACTTATACCCTGCTTGTTTCAGGCTTACAATTGTCTCAGAAACACTATGAATTCCTGGGAGCCAGGGATCACATCTTGTATCTGTGTTTACCACAACTGAACACATTTGGTTGTGAGAAGAGTGGGGAAAGACACTGAATAAATGCTTTAAAACAAAATCATCATCACAAACTATAAAGAATATAAAACGATTATTATGGAAGATAAAATATATTTTTAATTACTTCAACAGAAGGAATTATTTAAACGCAATATTTATTTGCTTCTGGAGGACATTTATGTAAATAAAATTTAGGTAGTGTTCATCAAACTGTGAAAATCTGTGGAGACGCGTGGTGGCGCTGCAGGATAATATCAAGAAAAAAATTACCCTGGAGGATGTTGTAGACCCTGTTATCCAGTACACGCGGAGAACTGGGAAGACAGAAAGAACAATCCTTTAAGGGAGAACCTAGAAGCCATTCAACAAGGTTAAAATCTTCAGGCTTCCGAGGATTTGGTAGACAGATCAGAGGCACGTTTCCCACAACTGCGAAGAGGCGCTGAGGCAATTCTGCAAGAAGATTTTGGGGTTTTGGAAAAGAAGCTATGGAAAACGGAGGGGCAGGCACTCTGCAGATAAGGCAAGTCCTGCTTTTCTTTGTTTTGCTGGGAATGTCTCAGGCGGGCTCTGAAACTGGGAACTTTTTGGTGATGGAGGAATTGCAGAGCGGGAGCTTTGTAGGAAATTTGGCAAAGACCCTGGGACTCGAGGTGAGTGAGCTGTCTTCGCGGGGGGCTCGGGTGGTTTCTAATGATAACAAAGAGTGTTTGCAGCTGGACACAAACACTGGGGATTTGCTCCTGAGAGAAATGCTAGACAGGGAGGAGCTCTGTGGCTCCAATGAGCCTTGTGTGCTGTATTTCCAAGTGTTAATGAAAAACCCCACGCAGTTTTTACAAATTGAGCTCCAGGTCAGGGATATAAATGATCACTCTCCCGTCTTCTTGGAAAAAGAAATGCTCTTAGAAATCCCAGAGAACAGTCCTGTTGGTGCTGTGTTCTTGCTTGAAAGTGCAAAGGATTTAGATGTAGGAATCAATGCTGTAAAAAGCTACACAATAAATCCGAACTCTCATTTCCACGTTAAAATAAGAGTCAATCCAGACAATAGGAAATACCCTGAGTTAGTTCTGGACAAGGCGCTGGATTATGAAGAGCGCCCGGAGCTCAGTTTCATCCTCACTGCTCTGGATGGCGGGTCCCCTCCCAGGTCTGGAACTGCCTTGGTCAGGGTGGTGGTTGTAGATATTAATGACAACTCCCCTGAGTTTGAGCAGGCTTTTTATGAGGTGAAGATTCTGGAGAATAGCATCCTTGGCTCCCTGGTTGTGACCGTCTCAGCCTGGGATTTAGACTCTGGAACAAACAGTGAACTATCCTATACCTTTTCCCATGCCTCAGAAGATATTCGCAAGACATTTGAAATTAATCAAAAGTCTGGTGACATTACTTTAACAGCACCTTTGGATTTTGAAGCAATTGAGTCATACTCAATAATCATTCAAGCCACAGATGGGGGAGGACTTTTTGGAAAATCTACAGTCAGAATTCAGGTGATGGATGTAAACGACAACGCTCCTGAAATCACTGTGTCATCAATTACCAGTCCAATCCCAGAAAACACTCCAGAGACTGTGGTTATGGTTTTCAGGATACGAGACAGAGACTCTGGGGACAACGGAAAGATGGTTTGTTCTATCCCGGAGGACATCCCATTCGTGCTAAAATCTTCGGTAAATAATTACTACACTTTGGAAACAGAGAGACCGCTGGACAGAGAGAGCAGAGCCGAGTACAACATCACCATCACCGTCACCGACTTGGGGACCCCCAGGCTAAAAACCGAGCACAACATAACCGTGCTGGTCTCCGACGTCAATGACAACGCCCCCGCCTTCACCCAAACTTCCTACGCCCTGTTCGTCCGCGAGAACAACAGCCCCGCCCTGCACATCGGCAGCATCAGCGCCACAGACAGAGACTCGGGCACCAACGCCCAGGTCAACTACTCGCTGCTGCCGTCCCAGGACCCGCACCTGCCCCTCGCCTCCCTGGTCTCCATCAACGCGGACAACGGCCACCTGTTTGCCCTCAGGTCGCTGGACTACGAGGCCCTGCAGGGGTTCCAGTTCCGCGTGGGCGCCACAGACCACGGCTCCCCGGCTTTGAGCAGCGAGGCGCTGGTGCGCGTGCTGGTGCTGGACGCCAACGACAACTCGCCCTTCGTGCTGTACCCGCTGCAGAACGGCTCCGCGCCCTGCACCGAGCTGGTGCCCTGGGCGGCCGAGCCGGGCTACCTGGTGACCAAGGTGGTGGCGGTGGACGGTGACTCGGGCCAGAACGCCTGGCTGTCGTACCAGCTGCTCAAGGCCACGGAGCCCGGGCTATTCGGCGTGTGGGCGCACAATGGCGAGGTGCGCACCGCCAGGCTGCTGAGCGAGCGCGACGCGGCCAAGCACAGGCTGGTGGTGCTGGTCAAGGACAATGGCGAGCCTCCGCGCTCGGCCACCGCCACGCTGCACGTGCTCCTGGTGGACGGCTTCTCCCAGCCCTACCTGCCTCTCCCGGAGGCGGCCCCGGCCCAGGCCCAGGCCGACTCGCTCACTGTCTACCTGGTGGTGGCGTTGGCCTCAGTGTCGTCGCTCTTCCTCTTCTCGGTGCTCCTGTTCGTGGCGGTGCGGCTGTGCAGGAGGAGCAGGGCGGCCCCGGTCGGTCGCTGCTCGGTGCCTGAGGGCCCCTTTCCAGGACATCTGGTGGACGTGAGTGGCACCGGGACCCTGTCCCAGAGCTACCACTATGAGGTGTGTGTGACTGGAGGCTCCAGGTCAAATAAGTTCAAATTTCTGAAACCAATTATCCCCAACTTCCTACCCCAGAGCACAGGTAGTGAAGTCGAAGAAAATCCCCCATTTCAGAATAATTTGGGTTTCTGATAAAGAATGAAAAATAAAACCTGTGTTTATGAATACATTTATAATTAGGAACTTATCGTGAGGTGCCTGTAAAGTAGTATTTTTGATCACTTCAAATACATACTCTTCAAGTCAAGAAATAAATTTCTTTACATAGAAAAGGATACAGATTTAGTACCAAGAACACTTCACAAAGCAGGAAATGTGCATGTGTAATGGTTTATGTCAAACAATTATGCTTAATATAAAGTCTATTAAGTGGTAAGTCTTGTTTGAGATATTTTAAATTGCTTTCCATTGTTTTCAATATTTACTGTGACTTTTGTTTTCTGAGTTGATTAGAATGCTGTTCGAGTATACCTACCCTAGTTTCAGAAGCATAGATTGTAGTGTACCTTTTTAAACTTTATTTTTTTAAAAAAAGTTGTTTTATGAATCATACACTATTTTCACACTTTTAATCTCAGAAGAAACATATGTGACATGGTATTTTAGTAATGACCAAATAGACGGTCTTAGAGATTCAGTAAGTTCACTAAGGTCCACTAACTAATAAGTGACAAAACTGAGCATCCATCCTAGATCTGCCTGACTCTAAGTCAGTGACTTTGCTCCCATTCCATACTGTTTTTGTCATTGGATATCACCTGGCAAGTTTCTGCCTAACTAAAGAGAAGAAAAGTTTTTATCGTATTCATACTACTGTTCAATCTTTATTTAGAAATAAACTTTATCTATGATTTCATTTTCTTATAAACCAGTAATCTTGCTTTTCTGGGTAAATTTTCAGCTATTATTACTAATGCTCTGATCTGCCCAAATCTTAAGTAAAAAACAAAATTGAAAGAGCAACCTATGCCTTCTCATTGTCTCCTGAACATATAACTATCATTTCACAGAAAAGATTAATGGTCCTGATTAGGAATAGTACATAATTTTGATGGCATTATTAGTTAATTATTTTCTTTACATTGTAGTATATTTCCAGAGTCACCCATGCTTACATTTGTAATATATTTTCCTGATTTGAGAGTTTGTTTTTAGCAGTTTTTCTTACCTATACTGCACTGCTGAATCAGGAAAATTTAAGAAAAAGAATAGATTTAAATGTGTAATATCAAAGAGAAATATAGATGATCATTAAATTTTTAGAAATTTTGGGGAGTTAAGGAGAAGCATTGTTTGTTAAAAATATATAACCGATTCTTATATTTAAAATAGGTAATTTTTGCATAGTTGTGTTCTAAATATATTATAAACTAGTGCCAGTAACTCTAATAAAGCTAGTATTACTGCATATCACTGGTGGGATAGAATCTAAGGACAAAAACTCACAGTAGTAAAATCTAAAATTGCTTTCATGGTCTCAGGGTAAAATTATCCAATTTCTCTGACAAATAAATGGCTCAAAAAATAAGAGGAGTGAAGTTTACACAAGGAAAAATCTTAAGAGGTCTACCACTCAAATACAATGTGTGGATCTTTTTTGGATCTTGATTGAAACAACAGCAATGACTTTGAAAAACTTGGAAGAATTTGAATATAGATGGGTATTAAATAATGTTAACTTGATTTTTAGGTATGATAATGGCATTGTACTTAAGCATATTTTTAGAGTCATTTAAAGTCATGATGCTTTTAAAGAAATGTATAATGACGTATTTGTGGGAGAAAATTCAGTTTGTCTGGGATGTGAAAATGTTGAAGGGATAGAGTCAAGAATTATGGCAAAACATTGATAATAGTTGAAGCTAGTACTGAGTCCTTGGAGGATCATTATACTCCTCTCTTTTATGAGATTTGAAAAATTTCAAAATAATGTCTTTTAATTGATGCTGTTAGAAGTGGAGGTAATAAAAAAGGACATCCTTCCCAGAAACAAAATCACCACTGCTGTTACAGATATTGTCTCTATTTAGACAAACTCTCCAGCCTTTCCTTGTTCATTTCCTTTCATTATTGGACATAACCTCTCTACCTGAGATAGTCATGCTCCTGTATTCTTCTACCATTTGAATTTCGAGGTGTTTATCTAGTTATAGTAATGGATTTATGCTAGACTTATGATGGATTTATGCCATCAAGACTCAGTTACTTGATGGCATCAAATTGCTTTATACTTGGTATATACCTTATTTTTAAGGTTAATATCTATTTGCATTAGATTCCTCATGTTTAAGGTGGGGAATTCACAACAGCCCTATGTGGTAGGTACTGTTCTTATCCTCACTTTACAGAGGAGCAAACTAAAGCAGAGAGATTAAATAATTTGTTCGAGGTTCACAGCTACTAATTATTCCTATGGTTCATGGAAATAAAACTATAAAGATCTAAATGTTGTCCATGATAACTACAATTATATTTGAAATTCTTTTTGCCAAGCTAGACTATTACCTAAATATTTCCTTTCTGCCCAAAACTCAGTTATCATTGTTGAAAGACTAATGTGATTTCTCCTTTGGGCAGTTGTCTGCTCACTAAAGTCCGGCGATATTAACGGTGGTGTTGTAACCTTACATAGTCTCGGGGTGCATACAGGCAGAGTTGGGAATATTACATCCATTATCATTCCACAAAATGTAAGATCCTGTGAGGACGCGTGGTGGCGCTGCAGGATAAGAAGGCACAAACCAGAACCGCAGCTGCAGCTCCATTAACCGGCAAAAAGCAGCAGAACCTGGAAGTCCACGGGGAGCTTGGATGCCAAAGGGAGGACGGCTGGGTCCTCTGGAGAGGACTACTCACTGGCATATTTCTGAGGTATCTGTAGAATAACCACAGCCTCAGATACTGGGGACTTTACAGTCCCACAGAACCGTCCTCCCAGGAAGCTGAATCCAGCAAGAACAATGGAGGCCAGCGGGAAGCTCATTTGCAGACAAAGGCAAGTCCTTTTTTCCTTTCTCCTTTTGGGCTTATCTCTGGCGGGCGCGGCGGAACCTAGAAGCTATTCTGTGGTGGAGGAAACTGAGGGCAGCTCCTTTGTCACCAATTTAGCAAAGGACCTGGGTCTGGAGCAGAGGGAATTCTCCAGGCGGGGGGTTAGGGTTGTTTCCAGAGGGAACAAACTACATTTGCAGCTCAATCAGGAGACCGCGGATTTGTTGCTAAATGAGAAATTGGACCGTGAGGATCTGTGCGGTCACACAGAGCCCTGTGTGCTACGTTTCCAAGTGTTGCTAGAGAGTCCCTTCGAGTTTTTTCAAGCTGAGCTGCAAGTAATAGACATAAACGACCACTCTCCAGTATTTCTGGACAAACAAATGTTGGTGAAAGTATCAGAGAGCAGTCCTCCTGGGACTACGTTTCCTCTGAAGAATGCCGAAGACTTAGATGTAGGCCAAAACAATATTGAGAACTATATAATCAGCCCCAACTCCTATTTTCGGGTCCTCACCCGCAAACGCAGTGATGGCAGGAAATACCCAGAGCTGGTGCTGGACAAAGCGCTGGACCGAGAGGAAGAAGCTGAGCTCAGGTTAACACTCACAGCACTGGATGGTGGCTCTCCGCCCAGATCTGGCACTGCTCAGGTCTACATCGAAGTCCTGGATGTCAACGATAATGCCCCTGAATTTGAGCAGCCTTTCTATAGAGTGCAGATCTCTGAGGACAGTCCGGTAGGCTTCCTGGTTGTGAAGGTCTCTGCCACGGATGTAGACACAGGAGTCAACGGAGAGATTTCCTATTCACTTTTCCAAGCTTCAGAAGAGATTGGCAAAACCTTTAAGATCAATCCCTTGACAGGAGAAATTGAACTAAAAAAACAACTCGATTTCGAAAAACTTCAGTCCTATGAAGTCAATATTGAGGCAAGAGATGCTGGAACCTTTTCTGGAAAATGCACCGTTCTGATTCAAGTGATAGATGTGAACGACCATGCCCCAGAAGTTACCATGTCTGCATTTACCAGCCCAATACCTGAGAACGCGCCTGAAACTGTGGTTGCACTTTTCAGTGTTTCAGATCTTGATTCAGGAGAAAATGGGAAAATTAGTTGCTCCATTCAGGAGGATCTACCCTTCCTCCTGAAATCCGCGGAAAACTTTTACACCCTACTAACGGAGAGACCACTAGACAGAGAAAGCAGAGCGGAATACAACATCACTATCACTGTCACTGACTTGGGGACCCCTATGCTGATAACACAGCTCAATATGACCGTGCTGATCGCCGATGTCAATGACAACGCTCCCGCCTTCACCCAAACCTCCTACACCCTGTTCGTCCGCGAGAACAACAGCCCCGCCCTGCACATCCGCAGCGTCAGCGCTACAGACAGAGACTCAGGCACCAACGCCCAGGTCACCTACTCGCTGCTGCCGCCCCAGGACCCGCACCTGCCCCTCACATCCCTGGTCTCCATCAACGCGGACAACGGCCACCTGTTCGCCCTCAGGTCTCTGGACTACGAGGCCCTGCAGGGGTTCCAGTTCCGCGTGGGCGCTTCAGACCACGGCTCCCCGGCGCTGAGCAGCGAGGCGCTGGTGCGCGTGGTGGTGCTGGACGCCAACGACAACTCGCCCTTCGTGCTGTACCCGCTGCAGAACGGCTCCGCGCCCTGCACCGAGCTGGTGCCCCGGGCGGCCGAGCCGGGCTACCTGGTGACCAAGGTGGTGGCGGTGGACGGCGACTCGGGCCAGAACGCCTGGCTGTCGTACCAGCTGCTCAAGGCCACGGAGCTCGGTCTGTTCGGCGTGTGGGCGCACAATGGCGAGGTGCGCACCGCCAGGCTGCTGAGCGAGCGCGACGCGGCCAAGCACAGGCTGGTGGTGCTGGTCAAGGACAATGGCGAGCCTCCGCGCTCGGCCACCGCCACGCTGCACGTGCTCCTGGTGGACGGCTTCTCCCAGCCCTACCTGCCTCTCCCGGAGGCGGCCCCGACCCAGGCCCAGGCCGACTTGCTCACCGTCTACCTGGTGGTGGCGTTGGCCTCGGTGTCTTCGCTCTTCCTCTTTTCGGTGCTCCTGTTCGTGGCGGTGCGGCTGTGTAGGAGGAGCAGGGCGGCCTCGGTGGGTCGCTGCTTGGTGCCCGAGGGCCCCCTTCCAGGGCATCTTGTGGACATGAGCGGCACCAGGACCCTATCCCAGAGCTACCAGTATGAGGTGTGTCTGGCAGGAGGCTCAGGGACCAATGAGTTCAAGTTCCTGAAGCCGATTATCCCCAACTTCCCTCCCCAGTGCCCTGGGAAAGAAATACAAGGAAATTCTACCTTCCCCAATAACTTTGGGTTCAATATTCAGTGACCATAGTTGACTTTTACATTCCATAGGTATTTTATTTTGTGGCATTTCCATGCCAATGTTTATTTCCCCCAATTTGTGTGTATGTAATATTGTACGGATTTACTCTTGATTTTTCTCATGTTCTTTCTCCCTTTGTTTTAAAGTGAACATTTACCTTTATTCCTGGTTCTTAAAAGGTGACAATTCATTCTTTAACCCAGATGGTCTTAATTTGTAATTAATTTGCCTCCCTAAAGAGCAATACCAAATCACATTTTTTTCATGCCCCTATCTTTAGCTGAACTTCACCCACTATTATGCTTATGGTAAAATTAAATAGAGCAATTTGGAAGTGATTCCAATTTTCCAGCATTTCTTCATTTGATTCTCTTTTTTTAGTCTTAAAATAATGACTCCTATTCAGACATATCATTTTTCTTTTTTGTAAATCCAGTGCGTTTTTAGTTAACCTTTAAATATGCTTTTTGCTTTCAAAAATAAACCAGAAAACCTATATCCTATGATACAACTCTAAGTGTTATCACTTGATTCGAAAGGGTCAGAAGACCAGTTTTTTAGTATCCTTTCCTCATTCATCCTGGAGAGGATTGTGCAGGCACATTAATATTGTGACCAATCACAGAATCTGGGAATATGAAGCTATAATTTTTTAATTAATGTCACAAAGCTCTAGTGCAATCTAGTTGAATGCAGATGCCTGTGCCCAAATAATAATTCATATAGCATAAATTGGAGTTGTGTGTTAATGTGTAAAAATTTTTGCCTGTACTATCATATAATTTAATGTATATACACCAGAAACTATTTTTCAAACTTTTTTTACTGCAACCAATAGTTAAGATTATATTTTACATATTTTGAAACACACAAGCTTAATAGAAATAAATGCTTGTGAACAATGCTTAGTCTTTTTATGACATAATTTGAAATTACCTATATATTTCATTCTATTCAATTTTCAAATGTGGTCATGATCCACTAAATTTATTTCATGGTATACTAGTGGGTAGTAACCCAAAGTTTGAAAACCACTTTTCTCAGACATATAAAAGCATACCAGATGTTGAACATTGATAGTATCAAAAGATAGTCCCTTAGGGTTCTAATTTTAAAAAAATTTTCAAAGCATTGTAGGGGAGTAGCTTTGTCTCATGTTAAATCACTCTTACCTTTAAGGATCTGACACACTATGTAAGAAAAAGACTTCAAGGTTGGAGGAGGAGATTTTCCATGACTTTTATCAAAGTCTACAGTCTATGTTGTGGGAGAAAAATGTAGAATAACAAAATGAGTAAAAGTATAGAGGCAAAACAAGCATGTGTATGAGAGAGAGAGAGAAAGCATGGAAAAGAGGAAATTCATGGGGATGAGCAAAATGACTACTTCCAGTGCCACAGACTAGACTCAGTTGCTTCTCTTATGTTATTTTTTGAGACAAGGTCCTGTTCTGTCACCCAGGCTGGAGTGCAGTGGTGTGATCTCCACTCACTGTGATCTCCACTCACTGCAACCTCCACCTCCTGGGCTCAAGTGATCCTCCCACCTCAGCCTCCCTAGTACCCAGGACTACAGGCCCAGGCCACCACACCCACTAATTTTTGCATATTTAGTAGAGACGAGGTTTCATCATATTGCCCAGACTGGTCTCGAATTCCTGAGCTCAAGCAGTCTGCCTGCCTCAGCCTCCCAAAGTGCTATGATTACAGGTATGAGCACCTGGCCTCAACTACTTCTTGAAGATATTTTAAAACTTTATCTTAACATTGTAGAGGGACTGGGTATTAGTCAGTTGATAATGCCAAGAAGTGCAATCTCTTTTAATAGCATATCTAAGACAACCTAATGTTTATACTTCTGACTCAGATTTCACTACTGGTTCTGTTGAGCTTTGTCAACTGAGTAATTATTCTTTTCTTTTTTCTTTCTTTGTTTATGTTTTAGAGACAGGGTCTTAGTCACCTAGGCTGGAGTGCAGTGGTGCAATCATAGCTCACTGAAGCCTTGACCTCCTGGGCTCAAGCAATCCTCCTGACGCAGCATCCCAAGTAGCCGGGACCACAGGCACATGCCACCCCCCACAGCTATTTTTGTTTGTTTGTTTGTTTTTTGTTTTGTTTTGTTTTTGAGGCAGAGTCTCACTCTGTCACCCAGGCTGGAGTGCAGTGGCGCGATCTCGGCTCACTGCAAGCTCCGCCTCCTGGGTTCCCGCCATTCTCCTGCCTCAGTCTCCCGAGTAGCACCCCCAGCTATTTTAAAAAAAATTTTTGTAGAGATGGGTTCTCATCATGTCGCCCAGGCTGTTGAACTTCTGGCCTCCAAAGGTGGGAGTTATTCTAGCAGCTTCCCTGTGATCTTCTCATATCTACTGGTGGAGTGGGAAAGAGTAGTTCAAACAACTCAGACAGAAAATCTCGCTGGTGCAACAGTGGAGAGAAGGGCCAAGTACTTGTCCTGTTACTTCCAGTTTTTCTAGATATATGAGCAGCAGGACTCCTCTCTTTATAAAAAGAACTATGAGTTTCCTGGCTCTAATGAAGAGTGACCAGGCATTCAGGAGCTCAAATGCCCAGATACATATAACCAACCAATTCTCCTAGAATGCATTGCTAAAAACGAATTTTGCTTATATGCTTCAAAGACCTCATTTATAGTTATACTTAAAACAGTGCATAGGAATCAAGCTGTATCAGCCAATTTTATATGAAAGAACTATAGGTTGTAAGTAACTTAGAATATAATTTTTTATCTAGCGGGGGTTAAAGGACACTTAGAAAATAGAGACACAAGAGATGGCCCAGCCTTACAGAATGGATTCTCCTGAAAACGCTTACAATAAAAACCAAATAACAGTATTTTTTTTTTATTTAGGCAATAGTATGGGAGGGAAAAGGGACATAGGACATTTTATCTTACAAACACATTGTTCTCTTTATCTTTCTGTTTCAAGTTCTACCACCACTCCTGGGTCCACTGATTAATCTAACAACATGGCCTCTCAGTCCCTAAGTCTTTACCTCTACTCCTGTTTTTCAGTCATTAATGCCCTGGCTACATATTGTACTTTTTCCCCACCAAGAAACTGTTCTATGATATAATAATTTCAGCTATCTCCCTCTGAGTGCACAATTGTCTATGCCTATAACCTTCTCATTCTGCTGTTTCTATCACATCTTGTCTTTGACCTTATCAGAGCTCCATTCCATGGTGCTGTTACTACCTATCAAACGCTCCTGTTTTAATTTCCTTCCTATTCAGCTGATTTCCTGGTTTACCACTCCCAGTTGCTCTCATGCCCATATTCTCAATTCCCTTGTTCAATTTTCCTTCACTAAAACCACCTGATGAAACTCCAGCCCAGATGAATATAGTCCTCCTCCTCTCTTACACATGGGGTGCTGCACTCTATAAGACCAAACTTACAAAATTAGCAATACCACTGCCACTATAAATGTATAATATTCAAACCTAATTGGGCTTCTGAGACCAAGAACTCCTTTTATAATTTTTCTAACGAGCTTTCTCTTCTACGCTCCACAACAACTATTTTAAACCTACGTATCTTACTTTAAACTTCTTACCCTACCACTTAGATACCCCCTTTTATCCGATGAACTTGCCTGATACCTTATTGAGAAAATAGAATCCATCAGCTAGAAATTCATTTTCCTGTCCCCTACTCCACAGCTTTAACAGCATCTGTATCTATACTTTTCACCTGCTGAGGTCCGTCCCACTGGTCTAAATCCAAACACTTCATACATTGCCTGGATCCCATCTTTAACAACCTTTCTAGGGGACTTGCATTATCCCTTCTGTATCTTAATTTTCTCCTTCCCTACTGAACATTACACATTGGCATTTTAAATATATTCAAGTTTCTCTAGTCTTTAAAATACTCTCTGAGTCTGAATTCTTCTCCAGATACCAATGTATTTCTTATTCCTTTTACAGCCTTTTCATTCTTTACAAATTTCTTGAGAGCCTGGATGCAGTGAGCCAGTGAGCCTGGGTGACAGACTGAGACCCTGTCTCAAAAAAAAAATTGTTGAAAGAGCGGTTTACCTCATTTTTGCTTCCTCATCCGCCTCACTTTGCACCGAAGTACAATCTAATTTTCATCACAACCATTCTACTGAAACTGCTATTGCAAATGTTATCAAAGATTTCCATATAAGTTAAGATTATACTGTGGAACCAATGTGATGCAATGACACAGTGGCTTGTAAACATGTCTCTCTTTTTCACATGACAGTACCAATGTAAAAATTATTAGGTAGGTAGGGCAGCTTTCATCCTCACAGTCCTTCTGAAACCAAATTTTCTTTCAAGTAATTTCTTCAACATTCCCTATGGCAATATAATCTGCATGGCTGTAGCTGGGTCACTGTCACATCTGGGTTCTAGCTCGCTTGGAAGAAAGAGGCATATCCAGATGATTTCTGTTCTATAACTGGAAGGGGAAGACAGAAATTCTGCTCACAATCCATCTGTGAGAACTTAATTCACTTGGCCACACTCAAATACAAGGGAGGCTGGGATGGGCAATCTACCTTCATGGCCACATACCTGGGCACAGTTCTATTACTATAGAAGCAAAGGAAAACAGATTTTGTCAGACATCTATCAGAATCCTCCACAATGACCATCTTTTTAAGCCCACTGGATAATTGTCATACTTATTTTTCTTGATTTTTCTGAAGCATTTGCAGCCATTGATCTTCCTTATCTCCTTAAAATGCTATTTGCTTTTGATTTCATGATTTTGAACTCTGAGCCTTCTTTATCTTTTCAAATATACTTCTTGCCCTGTCTCCTCTAAATGAAGATGTTTCTCAGAGTTCTGTGCCAAGCCTCTTTTATACTTATTTGACACACTTTTGCTTGGTTATCCTAGAGCATTCATGGTGTGTATATATATATATATATATATATATATGGTGATTGAAACCATGAATGCTATATATATATATATGCTATATATATGCTCTCTGTATATATGCTATATATATGCTCTCTCTCTATATATATGCTATATATATGCTCTCTCTCTCTGTCTCTCTCTGTCTCTCTCTATATATATACATATATACACACCACAGTTCATATTGCCAGCTCAGATTTATTTCCTATGCTTTGGTTATATGCAAACACACACACACACACCCCACCACCACGCAAACACACATCCTACAGGCACTTACCTCAATATCAGCATGTTCAAAACTGAACACTTCATCTTTTTCCACCCCAATCATGTTTTTTTTTAGCATTCCCTGTCCTAGTGAATGACACCACTAGTCATCCAGATGCCCAGTCCAGAGGTGTGATATCATCTCTGAGTCTTTCCCATTTTTCTCCCCATGCAACCTATCAACCAACAGTTGAAAACATTTCATCTCCTCATACCTTTCTATTCATCCCTCTTCTCTCCATCCACACTGGCATTATCCTCATCCAGATCATCATCTCTTATCTGATCTCCTTGATTCTCCAGTCACTCCCCCTGAAATTAATTCTCCATACTGCAGCCAAACTGATTTTTTAAAATGCAGATGTAATCATGTTAATCAGATATTTAAAACCCATCTTTGTACTTGAATTACCTTTAGGATAAATTCAAGAATGCATGATATGACCTGTATAATGATTCATGTTCTCACCATGCTTTTAACCCTAATTTCATTGTTAGACCCTCCCCTTCCATAGTTTTTAAAGTCCAAGGCATACTTCATTTCTCTGTGTTCCTCAAAATGCCCATCTGAAATATTCCTCCTTCTCCTGGCTAGTTCCTTCAGATCACAATGTATTTTTCATTACCTCAGGAAAGCTTTCACTGATGTCCCAAGTCCGACTTTGATCTTAATTATTTTATTTTTGACAGACACTTAACCAGCACTTACAAACCACTTTGTAAATATTAATTCATTAGATGCCTACGATAATAATCATAGGAGACAAATATTATTACCCCATTTTACAGGTGAGGAAACAAAGGTATCTATAACTTGCCCAAGCTTATAGATAGTAAGTCACATAACCAGGATTCTAATATTGATAATTTGGTTCCAGATCCCATATTCCCAAGCACTAAGGTATGCAGCCTCCTAGGTACAAGAAGTCTTTTCTAGGTATTTCTATATTACTTTTTATAAATGCATACATTATGACATACTTCGTTTACTTGTCTGCCAATTTTTCTAGCTTGTGAGCTCTGTAAGAGCAAGAATTATCTCTAACTTATTTGTGCCATGTCCTTCTTTATATTTTTAAAATATAAAAGTGAAAAAAGTAATGATATTACCAACTATAGCTGACAACAAGTATTTACAAGAGTGAAGGAGATAATATATTTGTAATTACTCGAGAAATGACTTAAATAAAAAATTATTTCTTCAGTTCAGAATATTTTAACAGATCCTTTAGTGCCGAGCATTCAAAACAGTGATAATGCAGTGTATGGACTTTTCTGGATTCAAATTCAAACAAACCAACAGCAAAGGACATTTTGGAGAGAACTGGGGAAAACCAAATGCAGTATAAATTACACCAAGGAATTATTGCTCAAGTTGTTGATTGTGAACGTTTTATTACAATTATCTTTTAGAAGGCCTTACCTATTAAAAATACTTAGTGAAGTATTTAAAGGAAAAAAAATGATGTCTGGGATTTGTTTCGAATGTTCCGGATGTATTTATGAATTACTTTTTCAAAGAGGAAAACTTTTTTAATGAAAAAAAAAACATGGAGACACATGGTGGCGCTACAGGATAAGACGAAAACAGTACATAGGCTGGCACGGTGAGCTTCGCTATTCAGGAGAACAGAAAGCATCCAACCCACTGAAAAGACAGGCATTAAAGGAGCTTCGCCTACAGAGCTGCTGGAGGATACACTCTCCAGGGGGTTCCTGTTAAAAACCAGAGCTTCAGCTTCCAAAATTACGGCTGAGCTTCAGTTTTTCCACAAGAGATTGCCTAAAGGAACCATGGAGATCAGAGGGGCACTCGATCTGCGAAAAAGGCAAGTTCTAATATTCCTTGTTTTGCTGGGATTGTCTCGGGCAGGTACTGAATCTGCACACTATTCTGTGGCAGAGGAAACAGAAATTGGCTCTTTTGTGGCTAATCTAGCGAGGGACCTAGGGCTGGGGGTGGAGGAGCTGTCTTCACGTGAAGCCCGGGTAGTGTCTGATGATAATAAAAAGTATTTGCACCTTGATTTGCTGACTGGGAATTTGCTCCTAAATGAGAAACTAGACCGAGACGAGCTGTGTGGCTCCACCGAGCCCTGTGTGCTGCATTTTCAGGTGGTTTTGGAAAACCCTTTACAGTTTTTTCGGTTTGAGCTGTGTGTCAAAGACATAAATGATCACTCCCCTACATTTCTAGACAAGGAAATACTTATTAAAATATCAGAAGGTACCACTGTTGGAGCTACCTTTCTAATGGAGAGTGCTCAAGATTTGGATGTCGGAAGCAACAGTCTCCAAAACTACACAATTAGCCCCAATTCTCACTTCTACATTAAAATTCCCGACAGTAGTGACAGAAAGATATACCCAGAGCTGGTCCTAGATAGAGCTTTAGATTATGAACAGGAAGCTGAACTCAGATTAACACTCACAGCAGTGGATGGTGGATCCCCGCCCAAGTCTGGGACAACTTTGGTTCTCATCAAGGTGTTGGACATCAATGATAATGCCCCTGAGTTTCCTCAGAGTCTCTATGAGGTGCAAGTCCCCGAGGACAGACCCCTTGGCTCCTGGATTGCCACCATCTCAGCTAAGGATCTGGATGCAGGAAACTATGGAAAAATATCTTACACATTTTTCCATGCATCAGAAGATATTCGTAAAACATTTGAAATTAATCCAATATCTGGGGAAGTTAATTTGAGATCACCCCTGGATTTTGAAGTAATACAGTCCTACACTATAAATATTCAGGCAACAGATGGTGGGGGTCTTTCAGGAAAATGCACCCTTCTAGTTAAAGTTATGGATATAAACGACAACCCACCAGAAGTGACCATATCGTCGATTACAAAGAGAATTCCAGAGAATGCCTCAGAGACCCTAGTAGCTCTTTTTAGTATCCTAGACCAAGACTCTGGAGACAATGGGAGGATGATTTGCTCTATTCAAGATAACCTCCCTTTTTTCCTGAAACCGACCTTCAAGAACTTTTTCACTCTAGTTTCTGAAAAAGCACTGGACAGAGAGAGCCAAGCCGAGTACAACATCACGATCACCGTCACAGACTTGGGGACACCCAGGCTGAAAACCGAGTACAACATAACCGTGCTGCTCTCTGACGTCAATGACAACGCCCCCACCTTCACCCAAACCTC
Source organism: Homo sapiens (assembly GCF_000001405.40). Lineage (NCBI taxonomy): Eukaryota > Metazoa > Chordata > Mammalia > Primates > Hominidae > Homo > Homo sapiens. The sequence goes on from NW_025791778.1 coordinate 460,046, forward strand.
CTACACCCTGTTCGTCCGCGAGAACAACAGCCCCGCCCTGCACATCGGCAGCGTCAGCGCCACAGACAGAGACTCAGGCACCAACGCCCAGGTCAACTACTCGCTGCTGCCGCCCCAGGACCGGCACCTGCCCCTCGCCTCCTTGGTCTCCATCAACGCGGACAATGGCCACCTGTTTGCCCTCAGGTCGCTGGACTACGAGGCCCTACAGGAGTTCGAGTTTCGCGTGGGCGCCACAGACCGCGGGTCCCCGGCGTTGAGCAGCGAGGCGCTGGTGCGCGTGCTGGTGCTGGACGCCAACGACAACTCGCCCTTCGTGCTGTACCCGCTGCAGAACGGCTCCGCGCCCTGCACCGAGCTGGTGCCCCGGGCGGCCGAGCCGGGCTACCTGGTGACCAAGGTGGTGGCGGTGGACGGCGACTCGGGCCAGAACGCCTGGCTGTCGTACCAGCTGCTCAAGGCCACGGAGCCCGGGCTGTTCGGCGTGTGGGCGCACAATGGCGAGGTGCGCACCGCCAGGCTGCTGAGCGAGCGCGACGCGGCCAAGCACAGGCTGGTGGTGCTGGTCAAGGACAATGGCGAGCCTCCTCGCTCGGCCACCGCCACGCTGCACGTGCTCCTGGTGGACGGCTTCTCCCAGCCCTACCTGCCGCTCCCTGAGGCGGCCCCGGCCCAGGCCCAGGCCGACTCCCTCACCGTCTACCTGGTGGTGGCATTGGCCTCGGTGTCGTCGCTCTTCCTCTTCTCGGTGCTCCTGTTCGTGGCGGTGCGGCTGTGCAGGAGGAGCAGGGCGGCCTCGGTGGGTCGCTGCTCGGTGCCCGAGGGTCCCTTTCCAGGGCATCTGGTGGACGTGAGCGGCACCGGGACCCTGTCCCAGAGCTACCAATACGAGGTGTGTCTGACAGGAGGTTCCGGGACAAATGAGTTCAAATTTCTGAAGCCGATTATCCCCAATTTTCAAGTTCATGACACTGGTAGGAATATGGGGGAAATCGAGAACTTTCGAAATAGCTTTGGACTTAACATTCAATAAAACAATTTATTTTAAATGTCTAATTTTTGGTTATTCTTGGCAAGCTGATGGTACTTTTTGCATAATCTTTTGTGGATTCTTGGTTGTACTGTAGTTGCATGCATGATTATAGCTCTTGTTTTTCTCACAGTTTCTTTAAAAATCTTTATTAGTGGCTATAATGACGTGGAAATGTAATCTGTGTTTTCTGGTTTTTCATTTATTTGGCCAAAATGTTATATTAATGGAGTTATTGCTATTTTTGCTGTGATAATGGTATTATGCAAGACCATATTCTCAATTATTTGGATATGCAAACTAAAGTATTAAGAGCTAATGTCATTATATATGTAACTTAAATCTAGACACCATCAAAGCATAAAATAAAAATAAAAAGCGTTGCTGAATCTGGGTCGAAAATGTAGTGCGTTTATCCCACTATTCTCTCTGAAAATGTTCTTTAGAAAGGGTAACAAAGATGCTATCCCTCCATTTTCAGTTCTGGAGAACCTTATTAGTTTTTCAAATATTTACTTTATGATGAAACTTAAGTGGTCACATTGGAAATTATTAATTTCTTAAGTAATTTTTTCTGTAACTGCTTTTGTTGATAATCCTGTTGTGGAGGAAGAGTCTTATAATGCTCTGGGCTTTGCTGTCACTCTTTGGTTTTCTTAATTTAATTCTATTTATTTATGTTTTTTGAGACAGGGTCTCATTCCATTGACCTGGCTGGAATGCAGTGGCACCATCATGGCTCACTGCCGCCTTGACTTCCTGGGTTCAGGTGATTCTCCTGCCTCAGCCTCCTGAGTAGCTGGATCACCAGCACAGGCCACTACGGCCTGGCTAATTCTTTTGTATTTTTTTTGTACAGATGGAATCTTGCCATGTTTCCCAGTCTGGTCTGGAACTCCTTGGCTCAAGCGATCTGCCCGCCTTAGCTAGTTTTTTGTTTTTGTTTTTTGAGACAAAGTCTCACTTTGTTGTCCAGGCTAGAGAGTAGTGGCAGGATCTTGGCTCACTGCAGCCTCGACATCCTGGGCTCAGGCAATCCTCCTGCTTCGGCCTATTAAATAGCTCAAACTACAGGCACCCGCCACGATGCCTAGCTAAATTTTTGTATATGTGGTAGAGATGGAGTTTTGCCATGTGGCCCAGGCTAGTCTCGAACTCCTGAACTCAAGTGATCCACCTGCTTTGGCCTCCCAACGTGCTAGGATTACAGGCATGAGCCATTACGTCTGGCCTAGTTTTCTTTAAATACACCGTGTTTACTAGCTTAAATTTTGTGTTGTTTATTACTAAAGCAGAAAATAATTTAGGGTCTTATCCTGGGTAAAATAGCCTTCCATCAGATGAGTACAAAGCAAGAACTTCATAAGAAATTGAAATGAAGATTCAAACTGTTAAAGAAATGATTTAGTTTCACTTTCCTATTAATTATTGAGTAAATATAAAACATCATTAACACTTTGTGGCCTCTCTCAGATGCCTACAAAGAAGGAATGGGTAGGCATTTATGGTTTATAGTTGCCTCATCATGTAACATATTATATCTCAGCTCTAAAAGAAAGTTCTATAGAAGATTATAGATAGAGATTTTGATAACTGGAATGTAGTATGGATATAGGGCTGGTGTACATATACATTTTGAAATTGCTCTTACAAGATTAAATACTATTATAGACCAGATGATGTAGTAAAATGGAATTTCACTTGCCATTGTGAAATAGGTGAAACAAATTCCAGTTTCCTTAGATTTCTTCCCTCTACTTTATGCAATTATCACTGATTTTATTTTTCGTTGTAACAAGTAGTTATTTGTTGTGTGGATTTCTTAAAATTGACATTTAAACAATAAAATCCTGAAAAGAATATTTGGGTCCCCTTTTTCCCTCAGAGTCATAAGAGGCAAAACTGTGCTCTTAAGTCACTGCTAATGTAAAAACTGAAGTAACTAAAAACTAAAGAAAGAGAGAAGAAAGACTAGAATAAGGTAGAAAAAAGTGAAATGGAAAGAGAAATAAAAGTGTATTTTTAACCTCAGTATTATCAATTATAAATGAAAATTTAAAATAGTATTGAAACTATAATGTTTCTAGAAATTAGGCTAACAAGTCAGAAAACCTTTGTGGAAAAGTGAATGATGTCAATAAAACATTAAATGAAATAATTAAATGTCTGAGTTAATTGAGACAGATGCTAGTTCCTTGATAGAACAACTTAATAAAGATCTATGCTTCCCAAAATAATTTATAAATTCAATGCAATTCCAGTGAAATCCATCATAAGTAGTTAAGGATCTAAAAATGGTTTCTAATATTAATATAGAAGAACAAGTTGCATGAAGAGCTAGGATAATTTTTAAAAAGAAAAATGAGGGAATGCCTTACATTATAGATATTAGTACATATTACAAATATGAAGTAAGTAAATCTATCTGAATGATTCAGGAACAGACTCATAGACTACCAGATAGAATAGAACCCAGGATCAGATCCTCTTATATAAGACAACTTGGTCACAGGAGGTATCGTAAAAACTGGGGTTGGTGGAGAAGAGAGATTATTTAGCAAACGTTATTGGGGAGATTGGCTCACTATATACAAAAACAAAATCCCTATCTCATGTCATATAAAAACAACCTTCATATGTATGTAATAGGTGAATTTGAAATATTTGAATTGGAAGAGATGAAATAAATCTAGGTAAAAATATTCATATCATCTTAGTTTGGGTTTGGATTTCTTAACAAGGCTTTAAAGCACAAAAAAGAAAAATACAAACTGATGAATATTACTGCCTCAAAATTAAAGGATAGCACAGACAAACTAACAGATGACAGTGAGAAGCCACCTGCAGTATTTTAACTGACAAGATTAATATTTACATTATTCAAATAACTCTTGCAAATCAACAACAACAAAGCCAGGAGAGACAATAGGATTTTTTAAGACAAAGGAAATGGAAATTCAAAAAAAGGGAAAACAGCCTGAAAATAGCTTTAAATGAAGTTCAACCCTTTTAGTTGGTGAAACATACACTAAAATTAGTAAAGATGAGAGATTTGGGTAATATCAAGTGGAATAATAGGAAATGACATGTACAGCCTATTTAGAGAGCTTTCTGATAGTATTTAGTAAAATTTAATATATATGTACTCTATAATTCAGCAATTCTATTGGAGTGTGTAAGCCAGAAAACTCTTAAAGAGCTTTACAAAATGATGTATATAAGAATATTCATCCTGGGAAAGTGAAGAATAGGACTCCACTTACATATCCATCAGTAAAGCAATTGATAAAATGTGTAACATGTTAGTGAAGGATTATTATGCAGTGATCAAAAGGAGTTAGCTAGACATGCAATCACATAAATAAATCTCAAATGTTTTAAAAGAAAAAAGACAAAGATTTATAGTATGGTGATATACACAATATCTTTTTTTTTTATTATACTTTAAGTTTTAGGGTACATGTGCACCTTGTGCAGGTTAGTTACATATGTATACATGTGCCATGCTGGTGCGCTGCACCCACTAACTCGTCAACTAGCATTAGGTATATCTCCCAATGCTATCCCTCCCCCCTCCCCCCACCCCACCACAGTCCCCAGAGTATGATATTCCCCTTCCTGTGTCCATGTGATCTCAATGTTCAATTCCCACCTATGAGTGAGAATATGCGGTGTTTGGTTTTTTGTTTTTGCGATAGTTTACTGAGAATGATGATTTCCAATTTCATCCATGTCCCTACAAAGGACATGAACTCATCATTTTTTATGGCTGCATAGTATTCCATGGTGTATATGTGCCACATTTTCTTAATCCAGTCTATCATTGTTGGACATTTGGGTTGGTTCCAAGTCTTTGCTATTGTGAATAATGCCTCAATAAACATACGTGTGCATGTGTCTTTATAGCAGCATGATTTATAGTCATTTGGGTATATACCCAGTAATGGGATGGCTGGGTCAAATGGTATTCTAGTTCTAGAACCCTGAGGAATCGCCACACTGACTTCCACAATGGTTGAACCAGTATACAGTCCCACCAACAGTGTAAAAGTGTTCCTATTTCTCCACATCCTCTCCAGCACCTGTTGTTTCCTGACTTTTTAATGATTGCCATTCTAACTGGTGTGAGATGGTATCTCATAGTGGTTTTGATTTGCATTTCTCTGATGGCCAGTGATGATGAGCATTTTTTCATCTGTTTTTTGGCTGCATAAATGTCTTCTTTTGAGAAGTGTCTGTTCATGTCCTTCGCCCACTTTTTGATGGGGTTGTTTGTTTTTTTCTTGTAAATTTGTTTGAGTTCATTGTAGATTCTGGATATTAGCCCTTTGTCAGATGAATAGGTTGCGAAAATTTTCTCCTTATTTATAGAAATATGCAAATATATAAATACACTTTATGAAGGGAGAGAAGAGAGAATATAGGAAAGCTATTTGTGCACATATAGGGGAATAAGGGGTATAGAAAGAAGTGAGAATGAATACCAATTAAATGGCAGTTGTCTCTTCCAAGAGATTGTTTCAATTCATTATGTCATTATAGAATTGATTTAGCATTGAACAGTTGAAGTTGTTTAAAAATACTATTATTTCTTAGCCTTCCAAAATAATCAGTTGCCCATAGAATATGAAAGCTAAGAGTTTACTTGTAATTTTGAGTTGCAACAATATCCCTGAGACTTTACATTTTTAATAAGGTTGGTAAAAATTATGTAGCACAATGATTTCACTGAAAACAATTAGCTATTAAGATATTAATATATTGTCAGGTTAAAGTTAATGGTAAAAGGAAACCCAGAGAGATAAGCAAGACCAAAATCTACTTTTTCCTTGGGAATCCTGGAAAACTTGAACCTCTATTAATAAGCATGGATCCCTAAGAGCCACACCCTTGGAGTGAGAGTAAACTGGAAATGGATGAACCCTTGTGGGGAATTTCAGCCTTGAACTTGATATTTAGCCTTAAACTTGATTTAAAGTGATCATTGACAGTTCTCCCAGGAACTGATAGAATCAAATGCAGATGTTTTATGAAATCTAACTTCTTTTTTTTTCGAGACAGAGTTTCGCTCTTGTTGCCCAGGCTGGAGTGCAATGGCACGATCTCTGCCCACTACAACCTCCACCTCCTGGATTTAAGAGATTCTCCTGCCTCAGCCTCCCTAGTAGCTGGGATTACAGGCATGCACCACCACGCCCGGCTTTTTTTTTTTTTTTTTTAAGTAGACATGGGGTTTCTCCATGTTGGTCAGGCTGGTCTTGAACTCCCTACCTCAGGTGATCCGCCTGCCTCAGCCTCCCAAAGTGCTGGGATTACAGGCGTGAGCCACCGCACCCAGTCAAAATCTGACTTCTTATAGTGAATGTGAATGTGACCTTACAGCTTTTTTTTTTTGAGACGGAGTCTCGCTCTGTCGCCCAGTTTCTGAATGTTTGAACGTTTATTCACTCTAAGCCTCAAATCATTCATACAACTAATTTTTTATGTTCTTAACATAAACAGTCAAAGATAAGTGCATACACAAGAGAACGTGACACTATGAGTGAGAGCCAGCAGAAAAAAGGAACATAAAAATAAACTTGCAAGCATTTCAAATATTGTAATTATCAGACACAGTCTACAATATGCTAGGCACTTTAATTGAAATAAAAGTTAAACCTGAAGGTGTACAGGGAAAAATACTATAAAATTTGACAGATTAGAAAACAAAATAGAACTCCTAGAAATGAAAAACTATAATAATCAAAATTTTAAACCAACTAGAAAATTTAATAGAAGATTAGATATAACTAAACAAATAATTACTGAAAAGAAAGATAGATGAGGATATAATTTATCCAATATGTAGGTCAGAAAGTTGATAAGATGAAAAATACAGAAGAGAATATTAGAAACAGAGGACAAAGTAAAAAAGTTTAACATATGTTTAACCAGAACAAGGAGATCAGAGAAAAATTGTATCAGAAGCAATAGTTAAAGAAATAATAATTTGAATTCTTCAGAATTGATGAAAACTTCAACAAGCAGATTTAAGAGACCTAAATAAACCTAACAGGATAAATTTAAAAAGATATCCATATCTAGAAACATATTGAAAGCTCAGAAAACCAAAGAAAAAGAGAAATCTTTTTTTTCAAAAGCCATGGGAAAAGGACATTGAACCCTGAAGCACATGACAGACTGACAGCTATGCTCCATGTTTCTCAACAGTAGCAATAGAAAAAAATAGAAAGTAAGATATCTTTAATGTACTGAAGGAAGTTGGCAAACATTTCTACCTAAATGGTCTTTGCATGTAAGAGTCATCAAATGAGAGCATGAACTCAACTTGATATCAGTTTAATTTTAAATTATTCCAGATGACAAGAAAGAAGTAGCATAAAGACATTTTATCTCTTAAATGTGACTTCTTATAGTTTTCCTCTTTGCCCATCCCTTGCAACAATTCTGGGTCCAAGAGTTTGACCTATCTCTGTTTCTAGCCTTCTTCATCTCTAATGACATTCACTTCTACTCTAGCTTAGTCACCTATAACCATGGCCTCTCTCTGGAGATGGTAATCTCTGAAAACTACATCAAGTCTGAAGTCACAAATTCAAATATACTTCTTTTAATCTGCAACTTATTATCTTTCCTGAAGAGCTTTAATCACCATTTATGCCAAATGTGACTCTATAGCCCAAACGTCTTTCCTCAACTGCATTTATGTAATAGAAGCTAATTTATATAACTGTCTATATGGATGCTCAAACTCATCCGTTTAAAATTAAAACTGTTCCCTTCCTCAAAACTAAATATACCTTCACCAACCAGCTCCATATCTATTCCTCTTTCTTCTGCTCTTCCTGTGTTTATCAGTTAATAGAACCAACAGTCACTCAGTTCCCTAAGCCTGAAGACAAAGTACATTTACCTTCATGCCTTTCTACCCCACTCCTTCTATGTTGATCACCACACCCCTATTGTTTTATCATTCTAATACAACCCCTTCACTGCATTTCTAGTTGAGGCCAATGTTTCCTCTTACTTGTATTATTGCAACCATTTGTAATCAATCTCTCACCTTTAATCTTATTCCTCTCTAATTTATTCTCAACTCTGAAACAGGATAATCTTTTTAAAAAGTAGAAACATAATCATGCCACTTTCCTGTTTTAATTATAATCCCTTTAATAACCCTGCATTTCTACTGGCATAAAGTCCAAATACTTTGACATAGTTAAAAAATATATGCTTATCTTTCCAATTTCAACTCTTACCACTTCTCTCCTCTTGCTCTATGTCTTAGCCATATTGATTTTATTTCCTCCAAATACTTCTCTTTATTTGCATTTGCACAATCTTGTTTTTAGTTTTCCTGAACAATTTTACCCCATACCCAATTTTTGTTTAAAGTACTCCTATTAATTTTTAATGTATCAACTTAGAGAATACTTTCTCCAGAAAAATCTGTCTTGTATTTCCAAATTCTGGTTAGATGACCATCATCTATGCCCTTGTAGTAGCATGAACTTCCTTTATCATGACATTCATTGTGCTCTATTTAAAATACATGGTCATTTTTCTGTCTCCCTCTTGCATGGCAGGAACTATGTCTGTTTACCATTCTATCCCTAACACTTATGACCATTCCTTGCACAAAGTATATTCTCAATAACTATCTGCTAAGCTAATTAATTAATAGATATATAAACATATTTAAAATTGTGCCTCTGGAAAGCCTGGGTCTGCAAATGATGAAATTCAGTTTCACAACTAAACTGAGGTCTAATTTGTTCACATTTTAAAAAATGTTTAACTGGACTTGCTTTTAGATTGAAAACCAGAAATGTTTTATTTTACTCACTACTTCTGAGCATTTATTTTCTACTCCTGCCAGCTAAGTCTCCTACTGAGTATCCCTAAATAAATCGTACCATTTATGCAGCTCAAAATGTCCAACCTTTCCAAAGCAACTGTTTTCATATACCAGGTTCATTTTCAAGTACATGATGTCATTCCTCTTTTCGAAGAGTAGTTGTGGAGAGAGCTAAGACCTCTAATTCTCATTTCCAATTTTACTAAAAATCTGTTGCCTACTAAGTCAATTACATGTAAGAGTATTCTTCACTATCTTTAGTTGTTTAATATATTGTCTTCACAGAGAGATCATAACTCGTTTGAGGCAGGGGCTACATCTTAAATATGCTTCTTATATCTACTACAGCTATAGCAGATTGTGGCTGATGATGGAAAGGTAATGGCATCACATATCACAAAAATGCAACTCGGAAAATAGGCATATAGAAGGAGCATATAATTTAAATTTATAGACAAACACACAAGAAAAATTAATATTTTGTCTGAAACGTATTGGAATTTATCTAAAACCTGAATATCTGCAGAGTCGCATGGTGGCGCTGCAGGATAAGACGGTGAAATTTTTGTAACCGCAGATGCTCTGGTTTTCCTTAACCATGGGAACTGAAAGCGCTGGAATACCAGGAGAAAATAGTCTTTCAAAAGGTAGGGCACCATCAACACCTTCGCGACAGGATTAAGAGTTTCTAGATTCCCAAAGGTCCAGGCTGATAGGTGAGAGGAGCAACTTTAAGAGCTGCTAGAGACTGAGTTGAAACGTTTACGCCAGAAAGACGTTTGGCTAAGGAGCTATGGAGCCGGGAAAGGGAAGAGCTCAGCGGACAAGGCAAGTGCTGCTTTTCTTTGTTTTCCTGGGAGGGTCTTTGGTGTGTTCTGAGACCGGGAGCTATTCCATAGCAGAGGAAATGGAGGTCGGTACCTTTATAGCCAACGTGGTGAAAGACATGGGTTTGGATGTGGAAGACCTGGCTGCAAGGGGGGGCCAGAGTCATCTTTGACGACTATAAACCTTATTTGCGATTGGATCCACAGAATGGCGACTTGCTCTTAAACGAGCAGCTGGACCGGGAGGCACTTTGTGATCTCACAGAGCCATGTATATTGCATTTCCAGGTGTTATTTGAAAATCCGTTGCAATTTTTTCGTGCTGAGCTTTTGGTCAAAGACATAAATGATCACACTCCCACGTTCCTAAACAATCATATGCTTCTAAAAATCTCCGAAGGTGCTACTCTAGGAACCTTATTCCAAATAGATAGTGCGCAGGACTTGGATGTGGGAAAGAATGGTGTTCAAAACTATACAATAAGTCCCAATCCCCATTTCCACCTTAAATTACGGGATAGCGATGAGGGCAGAAAATATCCAGAGTTGGTACTGGACCAATCCCTGGATCGAGAAAAGGTGTCTGAGTTTAGTTTAACGCTAACAGCCGTGGATGGCGGGTCTCCGCCCAGGTCTGGGACTACACTGATTAACGTTGTGGTCCTGGACATCAGTGACAATGCCCCTGAATTTGAGAAGCCAGTCTATGAAGTTCTTGTACCTGAGAGCAGCCCTCTGGACTCCTTGATCATCAAAGCGTCTGCTACAGATTTAGATGCAGGAATAAATGGAGAACTGTCTTATTCATTTTCCCACGTCTCCAGAGATGTACGGAAAACATTTGAAATCCATCCAATTTCTGGCGAAGTCTATTTAAAAGCCCCTCTAGATTTCGAGATTATTCAATCTTATATCATAAATATTCAGGCCATTGAAGGTGGGAGCCTTTCTGGAAAATCAAGCATTTTAGTTCGGGTTGTAGATGTGAATGACAACCCGCCAGAAATAGCCATGACATCTCTTACCAGCCCCATACCGGAAAACTCTTCACCTGAGATGGTGGTCGCTGTTTTCAGCATACGAGACCAAGACGCTGGAGACAATGGGAGAACAGTTTGCTCAATTCAGGACAACCTCCCCTTTGTCTTGAAGCCTACCTTCAAGAATTTTTACGCTCTGGTAACAGAGCACCCACTGGACAGAGAGGTCAGAAATGAATATAACATCACCATCACCGTGACCGACTTGGGGACACCCAGGCTGAAAACCGAGCACAACATAACCGTGCTGGTCTCCGACGTCAATGACAACGCCCCCATCTTCACCCAAACCTCCTACACCCTGTTCGTCCGCGAGAACAACAGCCCCGCCCTGCACATCGGCAGCGTCAGCGCTACAGACAGAGACTCAGGCACCAACGCCCAGGTCACCTACTCGCTGCTGCCGCCCCAGGACCCGCACCTGCCCCTCACCTCCCTGGTCTCCATCAACGCGGACAACGGCCACCTATTCGCCCTCAGGTCTTTGGACTACGAGGCCCTGCAGGAGTTCGGGTTTCGCGTGGGCGCCGCAGACCACGGCTCCCCGGCGCTGAGCAGCGAGGTGCTGGTGCGCGTGCTGGTGCTGGACGCCAACGACAACTCGCCCTTCGTGCTGTACCCGCTGCAGAACGGCTCGGCGCCCTGCACCGAGCTGGTACCTCGGGCGGCCGAGCCGGGCTACCTGGTGACCAAGGTGGTGGCGGTGGACGGCGACTCGGGCCAGAACGCCTGGCTGTCGTACCAGCTGCTCAAGGCCACGGAGCCCGGGCTGTTCGGCGTGTGGGCGCACAATGGCGAGGGGCGCACCGCCAGGCTGCTGAGCGAGCGCGACGCGGCCAAGCACAGGCTGGTGGTGCTGGTCAAGGACAATGGCGAGCCTCCGCGCTCGGCCACCGCCACGCTGCACGTGCTCCTGGTGGAGGGCTTCTCTCAGCCCTACCTGCCTCTCACGGAGGCTGCCCCCTCCCAGGCCCAGGCCGACTCCCTCACCGTCTACCTGGTGGTGGCGTTGGCCTCGGTGTCGTCGCTCTTCCTCTTCTCGGTGTTCCTGTTCGTGGCGGTGCGGCTGTGCAGGAGGAGCAGGGCGGCCTCGATGGGTCGCTGCTCGGTGCCCGAGTGTCCCTTTCCAGGGCATCTGGTAGACGTGAGCGGCACCGGGACCCTATCCCAGAGCTACCAGTACGAGGTGTGTCTGACGGGAGGCTCAGGGGCAAATGAGTTCAAGTTCCTGAAGCCGGTGATTCCCAATCTCCTGTCCCGCGACAGCGAAATGGAGAAAGCCCCACCTTTCTGAATGGCGTGGAATGCAATTAGGGATCTGATTATGATGCAGAACTTTTAGAATGAGTCTATTTCTTTGAAATCTTATTCATTGTTATGCAGAGTTTTTCATTTTGGGTAACTGCATTTTACTCAAGAGTTTTCAGAAGTTACAAGAATTTAAGTCTATTTTTTGTTGTTTTAACCGTGAAAAAATTGAGAGCCGGAATTTGCTTAGTCATTGTTTTGAAATACAACCTCAAATAATATATTCACAAACACATTATTTTCCCTTCAAGTTTAATCGCACACTGGGCTCATTCATATTTTCTGAGTGTTCTGACTGTGGATCCTCTATCCAAAGCAGTTTTTATATAATTGAGAATATTATTATAGAGGTAAATGCATGATATGAATAAAAACATAATTGCTTGTTATCTGGTTAGGTTGGTTTCTGAGATGTTATCTAATTTAGGTTTCTTTCTTAAAAACCTATAATCTTTTCATTCTACTTTTCTGGCAAACATTGCAGAGAATTTTTCCTGTACTTAGGGTTTTTTTTCCATAATTATTTGTGAACCATATATATGCTAGTAGAAGTTGTTTTATTTAAATAAATTCAAAACCTTGTTTGGATTAAGATGTATATATCCAGCTCATGCTCATTTCTTGTCTGAGAACTTCTCTATACTACCTAAGAGAGGTGATCACTAGTGTGATGCTTATTCCATTGCAGGCCTTCTTTTCTTACATACACACACACACACACACACACACACACACACACACACACCGTTTGTTTTTTTCGTTTTTTAAGAGATGAGGTCTTGCCATGTCACACGGGCTAGTCTTGAACTCCTGGCCTCCAGTGATCGTACCGCATCAGCTTCCCAAGTTGTTGGGATTACAGGCATGAGCCCTGATCATTTTTTATTGGTCCTGTGATAGATTCCTGATTTAAGCTGGAATAGCTACATTCTCCAAACCCCTAAATTTGTGATTGAGATATAGTTCATCTACTTTTTCCTCTTGAATAAGTGTTGAACGTGGGCTGAGGTAGCCATGTTTATAAGTTTCTAGATAGAGAGAAAAAGAGGGAGAGAAAATGGAAGGAAAGAGTAAAAGTGAAAAGGAATAAGAGTGGAGGAGGCAGAAGCCTAGAAAACAGTAGAGACTAAAACAGCTACTTAGTTCTAGACCTGTCCACCTAAGTACAGTTCCTCCTAAGTCTCCAATGTCTAATTGCCCTTGGGTTCTACAGTAAGACTCCATTGGTAATAGTAAAATTCCTTTGTTTAACCTATCTTGAAGGGGGATGTCTTGAAATCAAAAGAGACTTGAAAGGTATGTACAACCTTGAGTACTCAATTAGACTATCTACCATGAAACCCTGGTCTTTTATTGCATGCTTCTAATATTAACTTAATGAATGAAATACAGGATGTACAAGCCTAGAGATAACAAATCTATACTAGAGGCTTATGTAACAAAATTTAAATTTGTAAATAATTTATGAGGTCTTTCAACAGATAAATGCTACAAAGGGCTTTATGAAATGTCTCATTAACTTTACCTCCATTATTTTATATGTCCCATGATTACTTTTTAAATAATACTTTTTGTTTAAAAAATAATAATAACACTGAAATTGTAAGTTTTGGGTGTCTGTACCTTTTCTCAGGATCATCATACCCTCCTTAGCAGACTCGTTCTTTTAAAAATTACTTGCTAAGCTCAGTGTGAACAAAATTATTTTTGTCATGTAATGTAAAATATTCTTGCTCCATAAATAATCCCAATTTATCGATCATATGGATTGATTCATGATTTCAGTTATAGTAATAAATATTTAATTAATATCCTCTATTGCTAGAAAGCCTCACGAAAGAAATTTAAGTTTCTTCCAAGCCTAGGAGCTAAGATCTTAGAAAGAGGAAACTTTTTCCAAGAGATGAAAGATGGGAATGAAAAACTAACTTTGATTCATTGGGTTACTGACATAGGTACAAGCTTCTATCCCATTAATATTAAAAAATGCATAGACATTCAGGACACATTTTCTTGGACATGTAAATCCATAATAGTGAATTTGGACCCATGACCAAAATATTTCTATAAGGAAATTTGTCCATCAGATTTTGCCCATGACTGGCATATTTTGAAAGTTTAATTAATCGAACTTGTTTGTATAGAAGAAAACATTCTAAAGTAGAATGTTGATTTGAGTTATTTATGCCTTAAGAGAAACCAATATGAACCACAGTTCTTACACTTGGCTCATCCTTAGTTTTCTCAGTTAGCTAGATAATTAGAATGCCACAACACATAATAGTGTCTATTATTTAAACATTGTGAGTAAAACATTGGCTAAAGTTGGCACAGTTGGGAAGACCCCCAAGTCTCCTCCCCCAAAATGTTTTCTCTTTCCTCAGAAGTAAAAATTTCAGTTCCATGCTAGGGTTTCAGTATTCCAATGAATCCACAAGAGATACATAATTGCTTACTAAAAATGAGTTGAGATCTTCTCCAGTTGGGAATATGCTTAACCTGCTATTTCAGGTGAACTTAACATATTTTCTTCTGCATTTTACTTTTTACTTTAACTTCAGCCTTTATATCCATGATCTTGGCTGGCTCCCTCTTCAAGGTCTCAGTGACTCTCAGCTTCAACATGTGTGTATCTCAGTATTAACAATAGATGGTGATGCTCTTTATAAATTATTTTAGATACTGTAACAAGTCAACATAACAAGCTCACAGTCCTTAGGCAATATTCACAAATAAGTTATCCACAACTCTTAGGCTACCTATTGAGTTTGCATAATAAACCAGATTTAGCTAGTATATCACTTAAGTTTACACTCCTGAAATGTTAGAATGAATCTCTTCAACTACTGTGCTAGCACTCATTCGATCCATCAAAGAGAAGAGGCTTTCTTAACCGAAAATTGCGTTGCTGCAAGGATTGATTCCCAGAGCAGATTGCCTACCAACGCAACATAGGCATCCGGACCCTGAATGCTGTTGGTGTTGGAGAAATGGAGGCTGAAAAGGAGCACTTTCCTAGAATAAGGCAAGTGCTGCTTCTCTTTGTTATGCTGTCTCAGACTTGTGCGGAGTGGAATATACTGTGCGGAGTGGAATATACTGTAGCAGAAGAAACAGAAAGTGGTTCTTTTGTGGCCAATCTAACAAAGGACCCAGGGCTAGAAGTAAGAGTAATATACCAGTGGAGGCCTCGGGTCATTTTTAACAATAACAAAAAATATTTTCAGCTGAAACTTCAGACCGGAGACCTGCAAGTAAATGAGACATTGGACCGGGAAGAATTGTGTAGAATCACTGAGCCTTGTGTGCTGCAATTCCAAGTGTTACTGGAAGAACCTTTGGAGGTTTAAACTTTTGGTCAGTGACATAAACACAATTCCCCTGTATTCCCAGAAGCAGAAATTATTTTGAAATCATGGAAAATACTCCTCCAGGAACTGTGTTTCCTCTGAAAAATACACAAGATTTGGATGTGGCCATCAATAACATCCAAAACTACACCATCTACCCCTACTCCCATGTCCACGCTCTCACCCAAAATGGCAGTGAAGGCAGAAAATACCCAGAGCTGGTTCTGGACAAAGCCCTGGATCGGGAGGAGCAGGCTGAGATCAGGTTAACTCTCATGGCAGTAGATGGCGGGACTCCTCCCAGAACTGGGACTGCTCTGGTCCTCATTGAAATCTTGGACATCAATGACAATGCACCTGAGTTTGTGTAGCCACTCTATCAGGTGCAGATATCAGAAAACAGCCCCCTGGATTCCCTTGTTGCCACTGTTTCCGCTAGAGATTCAGACATGGGAATTAATGGTGAGATATTCTACTCATTTTTTATGGTGATGAAGAGATTTCTAAGACATTTGCACTTAATGAACGAAGGGGAGAAATTAAAATAATCAGAAAACTAGATTTTGAAAAAATTGTGTCATATCAGGTGGATATTAAAGCCTCTGATGGGGCAGGTCTTTCTGGAAAATGCACTGTCATAATACAGGTGGTAGATATCAACGATAACGCTCCGGAACTGACCATGGCTTCATTCACAAGCCCCATCCGCGAAAATTCTCCTGAGACCGTTGCAGCTCTTTTCAGCATTCAAGACCGCGATTCTGGGAAAAATGGAAGAATAGTTTGATCAATTCAAAATGATGTTCCGTTCATGCCGAAACCTTCCGTTGAGAATTTATACTGGCTGTTAACAGAAGGACCACTGGACAAAGAGATTAGAGCCGAGTACAACATCACCAACACAGCCACGGACTTGGGGACTCCTAGGCTGAAAACCGAGTACAACATAACGGTGCTGGTCTCCTACGTCAATGACAAAGCCCCCACCTTCACCTAAACCTCCTACACCCTGTTCGTCCGCGAGAACAACAGCCCCGCCCTGCATATTGGCAGCGTCAGCACCGCAGAGACTCGGGCACCAACATCCAGGTCACCTACTCGCTGCTGCCGCCCCGGAACCCGCACCTGCCCCTCGCCTCCCTGGTCTCCATCAACACAGACAACGGCCACCTGTTCGCCCTCAGGTCGCTGGACTACGAGGCCCTGCAGGAGTTCGAGTTCCGCGTGGGCGCTTCAGACCGCGGCTCCACGGCGCTGAGCAGCGAGGCGCTGGTGCGCGTGCTGGTGCTGGACGCCAACGACAGCTCACTCTTCGTGCTGTTCCCGCTGCAGAACGGCTCCGCGCCCTGCACCGAGCTGATGCCCCGGGCGGGCCGCCGAGCCGGGCTACCTGGTGACCAAGGTGGTGGCGGTGGACGGTGACTCGGGCCAGAACGCCTGGCTGTCGTAGCAGTTGCTCAAGGCCACGGAGCCAGGGCTGTTCGGCGTGTGGGCGCACAATGCACTGACAGGCTGCTGAGCGAGCGTGACACAGCCAAGCACAGGCTGATGGTCCTGGTCAAGGACAATGGCGAGCCTCCGCGCTCGGCCACCGCCACGCTGCACGTGCTCCTGGTGGATGGCTTCTCCCTGCCCTACTTGCCGTTCCCTGAAGCGGCCCCGGCCCAGGCCCAGGCCGACTTGCTCACCGTCTACCTGGTGGTGGCGTTGGCCTTGGTGTCGTCGTTCTTCCTCTTCTCGGTGCTCCTGTTCGTGGCGGTGCGGCTGTGCAGGAGGAGCAGGGAGGCCTCATTGGGTCGCTGCTCGGTGCCCGAGGACCCCTTTCCAGGCATCTGGTGGACGTGAGCGACACCAGGACCCTATCCCAGAGGTACAAGTATGAAGTGTTTCTGACGCGAGGCTCCGGGACAAATGAATTCAAATTCCTGAAGTCTGTTATCCCTAAGCATCCGGGCGCTGTGAATGATGGGAGGAAAAGTCCAACTTTGTAAATGGTTTTGGATTCAATTAAGAATCTGTAGATTTTTCAGAGCATTTAGGATAAAGGTTAGTCCTTTATCAATATATTAAGTCTCTGTTATGTTTTTTGTGCTATATGGATTTTCTAAGATTTTTGCTGATTTCATTTTCCTACTTAAGATTAGACATTTTCTTTGATTATTTGTTCATACTTGGTCTCCTTTTATCATGTCCATTTTGATGAATACAACTTTCAGGTTTACTCATTAATGAAAAGTAATATTTGTTCAATTTATCAACTTTTCAAAATCACAGGCTGTTGACTTGAAGACTCCAGCTCCATTCCGTTTCATTAAAGAAAGCTTTTCTAAACTTTTGATGCTTAGAAGACAGGAACGATGATATAGTGATTATTAGTACATATTCTATTGATTCTGTCTTATGCTTACCTGTCTTGAATTTTTAAATGGAGAAGCGTCTGCAAAAATTGCATCGTTTTATTTCACAATAGCTTGAAGTGGGAAAGACTACATTTTTCCCCAAACTTAAAGACTTTTCTGCTCTTTTTATAACCTTCACTCCATAACATATATGAGCATTATTATTACTATTATTGAGTCAGAGTTTCACTCTTGTCGCCCAGGCTGGAGTGCAATGGCGCGATCTGGGCTCACTGCAACCTCGCCTCCCCGGTTCAAGCGATTCTCCTGCCTCAGCCTCCCGAGTAGCTGGGATTACAGGCTCCTTGTTTTAGTAGAGATAGGGTTTCACCATGTTGGCCAAACTCAAACTGGCTCCTGAGGTCAGGAGTTTGGCTGGTCTCAAACTCCTGACCTCAGGTGATACACTCGCCTCTGCCTCCCAAAGTGTGGCAT
Source organism: Homo sapiens (assembly GCF_000001405.40). NCBI lineage: Eukaryota > Metazoa > Chordata > Mammalia > Primates > Hominidae > Homo > Homo sapiens. The sequence goes on from NW_025791778.1 coordinate 478,293, forward strand.
TACAGGTGTGAGCCACCTTGCCCGGCCATACGAGCATCTTTAGTGATTATTAGATTATCTCAAGATTTTAAAATCATAGCTCCCTTTTGTAGCGTCTATCTAGCCCACCTGATCTTTTTCTGGAAAATTCTCCCTGTCTTTGGCTGAAGTGTAATGTTGCAGCCACATTTATTTTATATGACCCACCTCCCTCTGTGATTTCAAACACAAAAATAAGATGATCCTAGCTGGCCTAATCTGATTCTCTCTGTTTAAAAAAAAATGGCTTTAAGAACCAGATACAACATAGTCTCTTTGTTAGGAACATAAGCAGAAAGTGGTGTCATATTTGGCTAAACACTTGCAAAGAAATACAGAACATCAATCTATTGAGAGACAAGAAAAAATAAGGTACCAAAAGAATGACCTTGTCATAGATTTTCCTGTTTTAGATTTTCCAGTCCCTCCCAAGTCTTTTTCCCTTAGGTTGCTGGAGACAAATTTGTGCTCTTTAATAAATTTCCCTCTAATTAAGAGATCTAAGTGAGGTTTTTGTTGTCAAAAGCATGTTTAGATATTCCTGCATTGTTGGTAAGTTAGACCTTTCTTCCTATTGGGTTTTTATTGTGGCTTTTCATATTAGTATGACAACATTTGGGATCAAGGAGGTTGTAAAATATTAGTAGTCTATAAGGGACATGCACTAGCTTTTGTCAGAATATACAATTTTGAGAAAAACTGAAGGATCTTTCCAATGGTACAGTCTTTGAAGTGTTTAATAGAAATTCTTAGAACATTTTATTATATAAGAGTTTTGAATATCGTAAGTGTCATAATAACATTACTGTAAAAAAAAAACCTTGACAATGAAAAATGTGTGTCTAAAAGAGACATAATCCTTATCTTTAGGGTCATCATAATCTTGTTATGTTCTTTCTTTCTGTCATATAATATATCCCTTGCTTATGGGTAGCTAAGTTGTTTTGCCACTTAATGAAATGACATTTTAGGTCATTCTGAGTTATTTCACATTACTATTTAAAGGGCATAGGAAATAGCTACCTTATGAACATGTTGTCTTTGTTTATCCATCTTATATAATGAACTTGAATCCCAGAAGAAGAGGGAATTTCTACAGTAGGAGGAGAACCTATCTGTCAGAATGTTTAAATTAATTGTGATTTATTAATGGATCCATTTAACAAATATTTATTGAGCACGTACCATGTGCCAGGGATTATTTTAGATATTGGGGATGCAGCAGTGAACAAAATGAAGTTCTAACATGTGAGGTTGAAACAGAAAGGAAACAACTAAATAAGTACATCTATACTACGTCAGATAATAAATACGAGAGAGACAAGGCAGGGCTGGGTACAGCAGCTCATGCCTATAACCCCAGCACTTTGGGAGGCTGAGGCAGGAGGATTGCTTGAGCTCGGAAATTTGAGACCAGCCCGGGCAACATAGCAAGACCTCATCTTTACAAATAATTAAAACATTAGCCAGGCATGGTGATGCGCAACTGTGGTCCCAGCTACAGTTGCTGAGGTGGGGGGATTGCTTGAGCCTGGGTAGTCAAGGCTGCAATGAGCAGTGATTGTGCCACTGCACTCCCTCCTGGACAACAGAGCAAGACCCCATCTCAAAAAAAAAAAAAGGAAAAATGAAAAGAAAAAAAAGAAAAAGCAAAGTAAGAGATATAGGAAGTGCCTTCATATGTATTTTTCCACAGTTTAAAATTTTCATAAAATCATAACTCTCTGACTTTATGTAGAAAGGATACCACACTGGAATTAACGTGTAGCTTTTTCTTGATGTAATCCAACCAATGGGAGCACAATTCTGGTACATAGGCTGTCTAGAATTTGAAAGAAATTAAAGAATTCATTTTGTTTTGCTGATAAATTTTTAAGAAATCACGTGGCTTTATGTTATTATTATTACAAGATGACTGATCACTATTATGTCTTCTTTCACTTCTCAATTTCCCTCAGAACACTACACCCAGACTACAGGCTCTGGAGGGTGGGGACCATGTCTGGGTTGTTTACTGATGTATTTCATAATTTGGCACATAGAGACCAATAATACTCCTTTAAATGAAGAAATTAATAATTACCATTGCGTGATATTGTGATTACATCATTTCCTCCCAATTTCCAAACTCCTAATAGAATAGAGAATAGATCAATTGTAGCAATTCGTTTCGAAGCAAAGACAACGCATGGTGGCGCTGCAGGCTAAGGCTTCAAAAAAAGGAAAAGGAAAAAGCCCATGAAATGCTACTAGCTACTTCAGACCTCTTTCAGCCTAAGAGGAAAGCCTGTTAGCAGAGCACGGACCAGTGTCTCCGGAGAATGCTATTCTCCTACATTTCCGAACAGGTTATCAACGCACAGATCGATCACTGCCTCTGTCCCATCGCTCCCTGAAGTAGCTCTGACTCCGGTTCCTTGAAAGGGGCGTGTACAGAAGTAAAGATGGAGCCTGCAGGGGAGCGCTTTCCCGAACAAAGGCAAGTCCTGATTCTCCTTCTTTTACTGGAAGTGACTCTGGCAGGCTGGGAACCCCGTCGCTATTCTGTGATGGAGGAAACAGAGAGAGGTTCTTTTGTAGCCAACCTGGCCAATGACCTAGGGCTGGGAGTGGGGGAGCTAGCCGAGCGGGGAGCCCGGGTAGTTTCTGAGGATAACGAACAAGGCTTGCAGCTTGATCTGCAGACCGGGCAGTTGATATTAAATGAGAAGCTGGACCGGGAGAAGCTGTGTGGCCCTACTGAGCCCTGTATAATGCATTTCCAAGTGTTACTGAAAAAACCTTTGGAAGTATTTCGAGCTGAACTACTAGTGACAGACATAAACGATCATTCTCCTGAGTTTCCTGAAAGAGAAATGACCCTGAAAATCCCAGAAACTAGCTCCCTTGGGACTGTGTTTCCTCTGAAAAAAGCTCGGGACTTGGACGTGGGCAGCAATAATGTTCAAAACTACAATATTTCTCCCAATTCTCATTTCCATGTTTCCACTCGCACCCGAGGGGATGGCAGGAAATACCCAGAGCTGGTGCTGGACACAGAACTGGATCGCGAGGAGCAGGCCGAGCTCAGATTAACCTTGACAGCGGTGGACGGTGGCTCTCCACCCCGATCTGGCACCGTCCAGATCCTCATCTTGGTCTTGGACGCCAATGACAATGCCCCGGAGTTTGTGCAGGCGCTCTACGAGGTGCAGGTCCCAGAGAACAGCCCAGTAGGCTCCCTAGTTGTCAAGGTCTCTGCTAGGGATTTAGACACTGGGACAAATGGAGAGATATCATACTCCCTTTATTACAGCTCTCAGGAGATAGACAAACCTTTTGAGCTAAGCAGCCTTTCAGGAGAAATTCGACTAATTAAAAAACTAGATTTTGAGACAATGTCTTCGTATGATCTAGATATAGAGGCATCTGATGGCGGGGGACTTTCTGGAAAATGCTCTGTCTCTGTTAAGGTGCTGGATGTTAACGATAACTTCCCGGAACTAAGTATTTCATCACTTACCAGCCCTATTCCCGAGAATTCTCCAGAGACAGAAGTGGCCCTGTTTAGGATTAGAGACCGAGACTCTGGGGAAAATGGAAAAATGATTTGCTCAATTCAGGATGATGTTCCTTTTAAGCTAAAACCTTCTGTTGAGAATTTCTACAGGCTGGTAACAGAAGGGGCGCTGGACAGAGAGACCAGAGCCGAGTACAACATCACCATCACCATCACAGACTTGGGGACTCCAAGGCTGAAAACCGAGCAGAGCATAACCGTGCTGGTGTCGGACGTCAATGACAACGCCCCCGCCTTCACCCAAACCTCCTACACCCTGTTCGTCCGCGAGAACAACAGCCCCGCCCTGCACATCGGCAGTGTCAGCGCCACAGACAGAGACTCGGGCACCAACGCCCAGGTCACCTACTCGCTGCTGCCGCCCCGGGACCCGCACCTGCCCCTCACCTCCCTGGTCTCCATTAACACGGACAACGGCCACCTGTTCGCTCTCCAGTCGCTGGACTACGAGGCCCTGCAGGCTTTCGAGTTCCGCGTGGGCGCCACAGACCGCGGCTTCCCGGCGCTGAGCAGCGAGGCGCTGGTGCGAGTGCTGGTGCTGGACGCCAACGACAACTCGCCCTTCGTGCTGTACCCGCTGCAGAACGGCTCCGCGCCCTGCACCGAGCTGGTGCCCCGGGCGGCCGAGCCGGGCTACCTGGTGACCAAGGTGGTGGCGGTGGACGGCGACTCGGGCCAGAACGCCTGGCTGTCGTACCAGCTGCTCAAGGCCACGGAGCCCGGGCTGTTCGGCGTGTGGGCGCACAATGGCGAGGTGCGCACCGCCAGGCTGCTGAGCGAGCGCGACGTGGCCAAGCACAGGCTAGTGGTGCTGGTCAAGGACAATGGCGAGCCTCCGCGCTCGGCCACCGCCACGCTGCAAGTGCTCCTGGTGGACGGCTTCTCTCAGCCCTACCTGCCGCTCCCAGAGGCGGCCCCGGCCCAAGCCCAGGCCGACTCGCTTACCGTCTACCTGGTGGTGGCATTGGCCTCGGTGTCTTCGCTCTTCCTCTTCTCGGTGTTCCTGTTCGTGGCAGTGCGGCTGTGCAGGAGGAGCAGGGCGGCCTCAGTGGGTCGCTGCTCGGTGCCCGAGGGCCCCTTTCCAGGGCATCTGGTGGACGTGAGCGGCACCGGGACCCTTTCCCAGAGCTACCAGTACGAGGTGTGTCTGACGGGAGGCTCTGAAAGTAATGATTTCAAGTTCTTGAAGCCTATATTCCCAAATATTGTAAGCCAGGACTCTAGGAGGAAATCAGAATTTCTAGAATAATGTAGGTATCTGTAGCTTTCCGACCGTCTGTTAATTTTGTCTTCCTCACTTTTCACCTTAGTTTTTTTTAACCCTTTAGTAATCTTGAATTCTACTTTTTTTTAAATTTCTACTGTTGTCTTTAGTAATGTTACTCATTTCCTTTGTCTGATTGTTAGTTTTCAAATTATTGTATTATTATAAATATTTTATATCAGGAAAGTTCATATTTCTGAATAAATTAATAGTATTCATTCCTGAAGGGTGATATGAAAGTTAACCCCACCTAATAAACATAACTCTAATTCTGAAATTACCTTTCACACTATATGACACTACATAAGAATGTATGATTTTTGAAGTCATATTTTAAGTTTTTTTTATAGTTTTTCTTATTCACACAGCTTGACTTTTTGACAAAAGTTTGGGGTGTAATCATTTCATATTTATCCATGTGTAATTTCTTCCAAGCTTCATATTTGGAGTTTTGTTTTTTCCAATAAGGAGCAACATGGATAAGTTTAAGCTACTCTTTTCAAGGTCACACTTGTAAGCATTAGATTTTCATTCTAAAACACATATGTCATCTCATAAAAATATATCTGCGTAATGTATTCTGTCTCATGTAAATTAACATAGAAAAGACTAATGGGTTCTTCCTTATCTCTATCTAATGTTATGATCCTATTGGGGGGACTGGACAGGCTTTCTAATACCCAGATTTACTGTGTTTAAGGTGTTCGTATAAGGCCAATAGACACTAGGACCAAGTAATGCATCTCCTGCAATTTCCTCTTTTCACAGCAGGAAAATCTTAACGAGTTCCAAATTCTGGGCTTAGAGGAGCTTCTGATGGTACAGTATGCCAACATCTACTTGTTTTGGATGGCAACATTGTTCTGATTCATAAGGAATTTGAAAGAAAATACATTGTAGAATTAATATTAGTTAACCAAACAAAATTTATTAAAGGATATGTTGGTGAAGGAGTTGAATTATTTGAGGAAAAAACATCTGCTCTCTTGTCAGGACTTTTCTGTCTCCAGGAGCTTCTCAACTTTGCAGATACTCTAGAATGGTATTGCATGCAAAATAATGACCGCCAAGATGTTCCTGCCCTAATCCCCAGAACCTATGAATATGTTATATTGCAAAGAAATTAAGGTTCAAACAGAATTAAGGTTGCCAATCAGCTAAACTTAAAATAGGGAGACTCTCCTAGATAATCTGGGTGGGTCTATTTCAATCAGTGGAAAGGCCATAAAAGCAGAGTTGAGTCTTCCGTGAGATGAAAATAAATTTTGTTTAAGGACAGCAGCTTCAGCTTATGCCCCAGAATTCCAGCCTGCCCCTCCTAACTGCCTGCTGTACAGATTTTGGACTTGTCCAGCCACGTTTCAAAACTGAGTAAGTCACTTCCTTGCAATAAATTGATTACTACACATCTGCTGCCTGTTTCTCTGGCTGAACTCCAACTAACACAGATTTTGATACCTGGAAGTGGGGTGCTACTGTAATAAACACTTAAAATGTGCAGATGGCTTCTGAATTGGACAGTGGGCAGAGGCTGGAAGAACTTTGACAGGCATGACAGAAAAAGCCTCGCTTGCTTTGGACAGAGTGTTAGCAGAAATATGGTGTTAACAAATCTGCTAGTAAGGACTCAGAATGAAGTGAGGAGCATGTTGGAGAAACATGTTGCCTTAGAGAATACCACATCACTTTAAATAGATTGTGAGTAGAAATATGGATGTTAAAGTCTCTGCTGGTGAGGGTGCAGAAATGAGGAAAATATTATTGGAAACTGAAGAAAAGGGAATCCTTTTATATGGTGGAAGAAAAATTAGCTGAATTGTGTCCTGTAGTTATGTAGAAAGAATTTTTAAGCAATGAACTTGGGAGATTTCACTGAGATTTTCAGGCAAAGGGTTAAATGTACAGCCTGTTTTTTTCTTGCTGCTTATAGTAAAATGTGAGAGGGAAAAGAATGAGAGGAATTAGATTGAGAGAAGAACTGTGAAGCAAAAAGGAACCCAGACTTGATGGTTGGGGAAATTCTCACCCTATTCAGACTGCAACAGATGTTAAGATCAGGAGATTCACTGCTAAGGATGCATGTTTTGGAGAGAAAGCCACAGACATATCAGGACAACCTTTTACTAGTGCGTTGAAAGAATCAGGTAGTCAATCATACAGAAGGCTCTTTGAAGAGACTAGGTACATGACATGGATATCTTCAGCCACATCAGCAGAAGCCAGGAATATAGACATAATTACTCAGGAAATAACTTCGAAGGAGTCTCTTGTTTAATAAATTGAATCCCTGTGAAATGCACAGGAAATAAGGTTATTGAGAATGTTTAATCAGCAGAAACACTGCCAGCTTGAATTGAAAGGGATAGAGAGAACTAATTAAAGGAGGATGTGGTACCCCCCTCCCCAAACTCTGTAAGCTAGAAATAGACTGATAAAACTGCTTAGCTAAAAACATGTGCCAATTCCAATGAAAAAGGAAGGATGCATCAGAGGATGGAGCCTGAAGTCCAGAGAGTACAGCTCTCAAAACACAGAGGATTAGTCCCAAGCCTTGAAAGCAGGAGTTTCCCTGGATGTATTGCCACATTCATTGGTGCAGGTGATTTTTTTTTTTTTACTTTTACTTTTTTACACAGTTGCCAGACTAGGTTCCAAGTTGTCTACTTAAAATGTATGAGGCATTTGTCAGAGAAGTAATGAGGTAGGAGATCAGCAGGACTTATTCCCCTATCAGAACAGGACAAAATGAAGAAATTGACAGGAACCAGCAGGTGGTGCACAACTGAAGTGAAAAACCCTGCAGGAAGTAGCAGCTGGTGTTGAAGGCAACCTCTAATTGCCCTTACTGCTCATTAGCATAAGAGATTCCCACCAGCCCCATGACAATTTACAAATGTCATGGCAACCCAGAAGTTACTGCCCTTTTCCATGGCAACAACCTGGAAGTTACTGTCCCTTTTTCTAGAAAGTTCTGAATAACCAGCTCCTCAATTTGCATTAACTCACCTCTTAATTTGCATGTAAGTGAAAATAGGTATAAGTGAGTATAAATACAGTTGCCAACAACCCATAAGCTGCTACTGCCAACTCTGGGTGCACTGCAAAATAGTTAGTCCTGCTCAGCAAGGAGCAGTCCCTTTTAATAAAAGATTGCTGTCTAATAACACCTGATTGCCCTTGAATTCTTTTATGTGTAAAGCCAAAAGGCCTCCTGGGATAAGCCCTAATTTGGGGCCTTGCCTGTCTTGAATCAGTCATATTGTTTTCCCTGGGGTGTTATCAAGGGACAGTACTCTGAACTACTGCAATTAAATTTATGCCATCATTCAATCATCTCACAACTGGCAAACATATGCAAATAACTGAATTTTCAAGAAATATTCCTGGCTAGTAGCATCTTCAAAAGCTGACTTTGGAGAACAGAATCAGAAAGTGAACGGATAAATGCGAGGCACGCTTTTACATCTGGACTTAACGGTATCCTGAGCAAGATGACTAAGATGTTTATGCAGCAATCCAGAATACCCTGCCCCCATCACAGGCAATAAGTAGCAAGGCTAAAAATTTTACTTAGTAAAATTGACTAAATATGGATCCTGAAAATATTCATAAGCAGATCAGCAGTCCATGTGTTTTTGTGGATTATGGCTATTTGAAGGATAAGTTCCAATTCTCCTCTATGTCATGCATAGCACCTAGAACAATTTTGAACATGAGTGACAATTCATTGTTTCTTAGTGAATAAAAAAATTAAGGACAGTGAAATAAGTTTTTTGGAAACTAGCAGAATAGAGACTCTCATCAACATAAACAGAGCCATTCATTTTACCTATTTTCTCTTTCAGATTTTGTAGACTTCTTTTGAGATTTCTGTAAGTCTCACCTTGCCTTTTATGATGTTAATCTAAGGCCATTGACCGTCTTGCTTTATTTCCCTTCCTTGCTTTTATTTTCTTCCTAAATGGCAATTGGAATACATAGGTAGTTGTGGTCATATGACAGCATTCACAAGGTGGGAGCTACCTTATTCCAACAATTGGAAAGTGGAGAAGAATTTTAATTTCTTCCACAAATGAATTTAAATGGGAGCAACAGTTTTCTGAGAAACCCATTAGCTATATTTTTGGTATAATAAAAATAAGCTGCAGTGTCTCTTCACTATCCTCCAAACCACTACTTAAAAGAGCAACATGGAACTTCTATTTCTAGTTTGATTACTGTAAACATGGAAATTATGTATAATTTTAGACAATTTAGTTAATATGACTATTTAAATGTATATAAAATTATCCCTTTTGGCTGATGGCTGAATTTTTAGAAAAGATTTCCTTAAAAGTTGAAAGCTTGGTGGTACTAGCAGAGGTCTCTCTGGATATTTTGAAGTCGTAATGGAGTGTTATGAGTTATCTTTGGGATAATCCCCTAAGGGTTTTATAATCTTAGATAAACACTGTGATGATGTATTTTCTTCACAAAAGAACAAAGGAAACATAAACATAATGAATATTTTTTGTTAATCCAATGCCTATTCCTGTAAAAATGGATTCCTTTCCTGTAAAATCGATAGAATATAGGCTCTAATATAGCAAGCTCATTTCATACGTATTTCCAATCTATTAAGGGAGAGGCTTGTGTCTTTTTTCCCAAGCAAAGCCAAATAGCATTCAATGAGAGTTCACTTTGGTGATGTTTAATGAAAATCTAACTCAGATAGAGGCCTCACTGGAATACTCCATGAACAGAAATGTAATCTGGGCAAAACCCTGCAGGCTTTATCCTGGGAAATGTAATAAAAAAAAATCAGAATATTGTCTCTATTGCTGAATCAGTAGCCTGGAAGTCACTGCAGAAGTTTTACCTGTGGGAGGCTATGGGAACCCTCTTGTGTCATGTGCTCTCAAATGTGAATGAGCGGGCCAAGAACTAAGAATATTCAAAAGATTTTAAATGTCCAAATAGGCAGTTCTGGAAATACCTCAACATTGTTTGGATATTACATTTGACATGAAATAAAAAGGCATATGAAATACTTTGACCAAATTCTGTTCCAAGTTCTCTTTCTGACCAGAAATTTTCATCTGATCATTGTTAAAAGTCTGATCCATGCCAGGGAAGTCAGGCATTCCACATTTTCCAGATCCAAAGAATGGAGGTTAAAGATATTCCTGAGCATGCTCCTTGAAGGAATCTTGTGTCACTCAACTAGCCTGTCCCTACATGTTACTCCTCAAATTGTCACTACTGCCATCAACATTCAGAATCATGTTTGAAAAGTGTATGCTCTTCTACATATCTCTTATATTCTGCATTGAAAATGACTTTTAGAAATTCATAATTCATAGTAACAGAAAATGTACTAACCAGGAAGATCTTTTGCCAAATTAATACTTCTGTTAGTCTAAATTCTTTTAGTATTAATCAACAGAAACCCAATTCAAATTAGCTCTCAAGATAAAATACAGAATTTATTGAGAAGATATTAGGGTATATAAAGTAATTTAGGATATGTTTGGAAATAAAACTGATTGAAAGGTAGGGCCATAACAATTAGAAACAAGGACTTGACCATTTTTTCTATCCTGCTGGTTTCATTCCCTTTTACTGCAGACCAGCTTCCTTTACATGGAGAAAAATGCGCTTATATTTCAAGAGCCTAAAAGTTATTTTATAACTATTATAAGTTGACTCATGCCTTTTCTGGTACCAAGTTTGGAAATACTGGTGGGCTGATATCAATTCCAAACTAGGGCTAGGAAGCAGGAGATTTGTGTTTTTTGGTTTAATAATATGACTGCTCCCATTTGTTTTACAAGAGTCCAATGGGGTGGAGATATATGCACTCCCTGGAAAAGGGGAGGCAAACACATATCTGCATGTGTCAGTATTCACCAACACCAATGATTAGAAATTAAGGGAATCACAGTGAACATTTTCTTCATAATTCTTGTATTTTATGTGTCTGCAAATATTAAAGAAATTTTACTTCACAATCAGGGCAACAGATAGATGGCAGCTCAATTACTTTGAACATCCAGGCATTTGTCTGTGGAATGGTCATAGGTGACAATGGCAACTCAACATTGATGCTGAATTTCAGTATACTGCTCAGCTCACTAAAGAAAACTGATGCCCAGTAGGAAGGGCAAAGTAGACTATCTGGAGTGGTGGCAATTGAGGGTGGTTCCTCTTAAAATGGGAATTAAAATCAGTGAGGCCTGTGACATCTATTTCTTCATCAAAATTTTCTGCAGAACATTCATTTTAGCTAGCACAGTAGCTATTAGCATCTTTTTAAGTGGATTTTTTCTTACACACCTAGATGCCCCCTTAATGATATGTCAAAGGAAGAGATGTAATAGCAAAATGACTTAAATACATGAATTTGTTCTTGACCTTTCTATGTTTCTGACTGCAGTAATCATTATCTAACTGACTGGGGCTTTTGATAACTGCATTACTTCTGGTTATCAGCATAGTCATAAAAAAATTAAAAATTCTCGTGAATTCTAGGACTTTCAGAAGTTGGCACCATATTTACAGCCCCCATTATGAATATTAATGGCTGGAGAACAGCAAATGCCATTTCCTCTAGGTTATTACCATTAGTACCCAATCATTAGTAGTCCCTGTCACTTGTGGCAATGATGGTCATTTTCAAGATAATATTAAGTTGTATACCAAATGAGAGAAGAAAGCTCATTACTACTACTTTTAGATTTGGTCTTTCTCTTACCTTTTCCAAAAAACATATTTGATTAATTCCTGACAAACTTCTTACATATAGAAATGCATGTTTTGAAACAGGCCCAGAGATCCGAATGTGTACTACTTCCTTTGTATCTTAATTTACAAATGTTTTATGGGTAAAGTCTAGAATTTAAAGGCATCTCTAAAGGATTAATAATTTTGTCTTTCTTAGACTGATCTGGAATACCTTGAGAAGAGCATTACTTCCATTTATCAGCATAGTCACCAAAAAGTCGAGAAAAATCTATCATGATACATAAATGATGATGCCTCAAACAATTTTAGAAATCTATAGCTACAAATACACAAAACCCCATAGTGGTTTGTGTATTTGTGTGTGTGCATTTGTGCCTGTATATGTGTGTGTCTCTGGTGGGTGGCTTTAGTAGACAGTGGCAATAAAATGCAGAGATAAATACCAGAATAACATTGCTTTTCCAAAACTTTTCCACATTAAGATTTTTTCTTTAATCTATGAATGTATTTAATAAAGTTGGTGTTAGCAATGTATTGTAGAAGAGTTTATATTTTCAAATGAAAGGAAGTTATTTCTTGCAAATGGAACAATCCCAACATTATTGAATTTAGAATTTTCGTGACCTTTTTGGCCTTGAAGGAGTAGCCTAGGAGAAGGAGCTGTGAAGTAGACATGGTAAATTTTCCCCCAGTGAGATCAGGAAACAATAAAGTTGACAATAGGATCTGACAGGATGAGGGTGAGGTCAGTGTGGCAAATGTGTGCAAGGGCAGGGTGGTTCCTGTCCTCACTTAAAATTTCATATTTTGTTTCTCATGGGTGTTTACATTAAATTTTAATTTTTACAATATTGTAACAAATAGTATTTATCTCCAAGTTTTGGGATAATGACTTAAAATTTGCATCTGAGTTACTTGCTTTGCCCTTGTCCCAGTTGTTCGTTGTTTCCAACTTGCAAGTTCAAATGTTACTATGGTAACAGTGATGGCTACAATTGGAATTCAAGCAAAGAAATCTGAAGCAAGTCCTATTCCAAATATGGAGTGGCAGGGGCAATGATGGAAGAATCCAAAGACATCCAAGCAGATCTCATGAGCTGGAGTCATGCAGAGTGGGAATGGAACAGCACCTGTGTGATCATGATTGTCTAGGAAAATTGTTTGTAAGTTTTTCTTCCAGGTGACATGCAGCCAAGTCAGTGTGCTAATTTTGTTGAGAATTTGTGCATCTATATTCATGAGAGATGTTGATCTACAATTTTTTTTCTTGTAATACCCTTGTCAGGATTTAGTTTCAGGGTTCTCCTGGTCTCATCAAATGACTTGCCAATTGTTTCCTCCACTTCTTCTTTTATGAAAGAGTTTATGTAAGATAGTTATTATTTCTACTTTATGTATTTGATAGAATTTACTGCAGAACCCAACCATGAATGACATTTTCTTTGTGGGAAGATTTTGAATTGCACACTCAATTTCTTAAATAAATATGCTGCAATTCTAATTTTCTGTTTCCTCTTCTGTCGGCAGCTGGCAGCTTGTGTTTTTTAAGCAAATTTGTCTATTTTATCAAAGATGTTGAAGTTATTTTCATGAAGCTATTGATACTATTTCTTTCTCATCTTTCAATATATTTAGAATCTGCAGTGAGGCCCTCCCCCTTTCACTATGGATATTGGTAATTTATGTTTTCCCTCTTTTTGTCTTTATTGGTATTTCTGTCAATGTACCAATTTTGTTAATTTTGAAAAACAAGACAATCATTGGTTTCACTACTTTTCCTATTACTTTCTGTTTTCTTCCTTTTCTCAGAGAAAAAAAGGCTGGAGTGCAGTGATGCGATATAGCTCACTGTGACATCAAACTGCTAGCCTCAAGAGACCCTCCTAAGGCTAGGCATGGTGGCTCACACCTGTAATCCTAGCACTTTGGGAGGCCCAGGCAGATGGATTACCTGAGGTCAGGAGTTTGAGACCAGCCTGGCAAACATGGTGAAACTCCATCTCTACAAAAATTAGCCAGGCATGGTGGCGGGCACCTGTAATCCCAGCTACTAGGGAGGCTGAGGCAGGAGAATCGCTTGAACCCCGGGGGTCAGAGGTTGCAGTAAGCCAAGATCGCGCCACTTCACTCCAGCCTGTGCGAAACAGCAAAATTCCATCACTCACACACACACACACACAAAAGAGAGAAAGAGAGATCCTCCTGCCTCAACCTCGTGAACAGCTAGGACTACAGGTGCATGCCATCAAATCCAGCTAATTATTTTTATTTTTATTTTTGTAGAGACAGTGCCTCACTATGTTGCCTAAGTTGGCCTCAAACTTCTGAGCTTAAGCAATCCTCCCACCTCAACCTTCAAAAATGCTGGGATTACACGTGTGAGCTACCTTTTCTAGACTCCTTTTTGTTTCCTATTTTATTGATTTCTGCTATTCTGTTTTTATTTCTTTTATTCTATGTATTTTGAGTTTAGTTTTCTCTTTTTCTAGCTTCTCTGAAAGCTCAGATCATTGATTCTAAGCCTTTCTTTTCTAACACACTTGAAAATATATAAAAATATGAAGTTATAAATTTCTTCCTGTATATTACTTAAGTTGCATTTCATGAACTTGACTAGTTTGTGTTTTTATTGCCATTCAGTTTGTACTATTCTTCTTTGATCCATTGCTTGACTATAATCGTGTTGCTTAATTTCCAACTATCCAAAGGTAACATTTTTGATTTCCAAAATAATTATTTTTTGGTCTTGGAGCATACTCTGTAAAATTTCAACCCTTTGAGATTTATGAAGTCATTAAAAATTATTCAGCATGTAAGTTACCATGGTGAGTTCCCCATGTGTACTTGAAAGAAATGTGTAACCTACAGTTGTTGGTTGAGTATTCTGTAAATATCAATTAAATCAAGTCACTTGATAATGTTTTTAGATCTTCTTTATTCTTAACATTGTTTCTACATGTTCTGCCAGTTATTAGGAGAAGAGTGTTAAATTCTTCACCTGTGATTGTGAGTTTTTATTTTTTAATTATACTTTAAGTTATAGGGTACATGTGCACAACATGCAAGTTTGTTACATAGGTATACATGTGCCATGTTGGTTTGCTACACCCATTAGCTCGTCATTTACATTAGATATTTCTCCCAATGCCCACCCTGCCCCCCACCCCATGACAGGCCCCTGTGTGTGATGTTCCCCACCCTGTGTCCAAGTGTTCTCATTGTTCAATTCCCACCTATGAGTGACAATATGCGGTGTTTGGTTTTCTGTCCTGGTGATAGTTTGCTCAGATTGATGGTTTCCAGCTGCATCCATGTCCCTGCAAAGGACATGAACTCATCCTTTTTTATGGCTGCATAGTCTTCCATGGGGTATATGTGCCACATTTTCTTAATCCAGTCTATCACTGATGGACATTTGGGTTGGTTCCAAGTTTTTGCTATTGTAAATAGTGCTGCAATAAACATACATGTGTCTTTATAGTAGCATGATTTATAATCCTTTGGGTATATGCCCAGTAATGGGATCGCTGGGTCAAATGGTATTTCTAGTTCTAGATCCTTGAGGAGTAGCCACACTGTCTTCCACAATGGTTGAACTAGTTTATACTCCCACTAACAGTGTAAAAGTGTTCCTTTTTCTCCACATCCTCTCCAGCATGTTTGTTGTGAATTTTTTATTTATTTTCAGTTCTATCATTTGTTAATCTCATGTACTTTAAAGCTCTGTTATTACATGCACAATGGATAGCTGCTTGATGAACTGACGCTCATTATTATAAAATGTCTCATTTAGTCTCTAGTTACTCTGTCTGATATTAATATAGTCAGTCTACATGTCTTATGCTTAAGGTTTGCATGATATATTTTTTCATTCTTTACTTTCAACCTGTATTTATATTTAAAAAGCATCTTTTTAAAACAACATAGCATTAAATCTTGCATTTTATCCAGTGTTAATATGTTTGCTTTTTAATTGGAGAGTTTATTCCATTTATATGTAATGTAATTATTTATAACATGATTGTCTCTATTGCAATTTTATTCATACCCTCCATTTTCATTCCTATGTTCCCCATTTTCTGTTTTCCTTTGAAATCCTTTGTTCCTCATTTTCTGTTTTCTTTTGACTTGATTAAATATTTTTCATATTCCATTTTATATCCTTATTTGAATTTTTAGCTACAACAGTTTCAGGAGTATTTCTTCTAAGGATGACAATATACTGCCTTTTCTTATCATGGTCTACCTTCAATTAGTATTATACTACTTAAGTTACAATATAAAAAACCTCCAATTATGCAATCCTCATTCTTTTGCCATGACATAGATGGATCAGCACAAGACACAGGACATATATTTGAGAATTCATATGGTGGAAAACCTCTATGAATATAATCAAATTTGAAAATCTCTCAAAAAGATCTTGATGTCTACTCTGTAGAAAATACTCCAAATTGGATACAAATATAATGAGAGTAATAAACATGAAAAGATCTCAGCCAGATTTCAAATCTAAATGTGCACTAGAGAACTCATGCTGCAGGGAAATTATGTGAATTCAGTGAATGCAAGAAAGTCTTCACTGATCTTTCACTTGTTAAAAACACACATGGCATCACACACTGAACACATACCCTATCAAAGTAAGGAATAGAGGGAATCCTTTATGTGTTCCTTGTATTTTAGGAATCATGAAAAATTTCACACTGGAGAAGAATTCTATGAATAGACATGTAAGCAAGCCTTTGTTCATTCTTCATTTATTGATGTACATGTAAGAACTCACAGTGGGCTGGGCACGGTGGCTCATGCCTGTAATTCCAGCACTTTGGGAGGCCAAGGCGGGTAGATCACCTGAGGTTAGGAGTTCAAGACCAGCCTTACCAATATGGTGAAACCCCATCTCTACTAAAAATACAAAAATTAGCCAGGTGTGGTGACGTGCACCTGTAATCCCAGCTACTCAGGAGGCTGAGACAGGAGAATTGCTTGAACCCAGGAGGTAGAGGTTGTAGTGAGCCAGGATCATGCCACTGCACTCCAGCCTGGGTGACAGAGCGAGACTCCGTCTCACAAAAAAAAAAAAAAAAAAAAATGAACTCACAGTAGACAGTGGAGATAAGCCTTATGAGTATAAGAAATGTGAAAAAGCTTTCAATTTTCTTTAATCTTTTAGAAAACATGTGAAAACTCTCACTGAAGAGAAATCTTATTAACATAAAAATGTAGAAAAACCTTGAGTTGCCCCTAATCCTTTAGGGCATATGTGATAACTCATATTGTAATTTACCCTATGGATATAAAAGAATGTGAGATAGGCTTGATTTCTTCCAGATCTCTTGCTGTACATGTAAGAACTAACGTTGGAGAGAGGATTTATCAATATAGAGAATGAAGAAAAGCCTTCATTTATTCCTCAAAACTTCCTGTTCAAATGAAAATAAACCAAAAAGGAACTTTATGCATGTAAGAAAGATGGGCAAGTATACAGTTTGCCCTCTTCTTTCAATAGAAATGTGAGAACAAACACCGAAGACAGCCTCTATAATTGTAAACAATATGAAAAATCCTTCATTTATTCTTCATATTTTACCACTCATGTGATAATACACATTGGAGAAACACTGTGTGATGGTTAACTTTATGGGTCAATTTGACTGGGTTAAGGATACTCAGGTACCTGGTAAAGCATTAATTTTGGATATATCTGTGAGGGTAGTCCAGAACAGATTGACATTGGAATCCGTAGGTTGAGTAAGGAAGATCAGGCCTCATCCAGCGTGGCTGGGCACCATTTAATCAATCGAGGGCCTAGATAGAACAAAAGGGGATAGGAAAGGTGAATTTGCTCTCCCTTCTGGTCCTGATACACCCACCTTTTCTTGCCCTTGGATATAAGAAGTCCAGGTTCTCTGGTCTTTGGGACTTATACTAGTGGCCCTCCAGGTTCTTGGGCCTTCAGACTTGGACTGAGCTATGCCACCAGCTTCCCTGGTTCTCCAGTTAGCAGATGGCATATTATGGGACTTCTCAGCCTCCATAATCATGTGAGCTGATTCTCATAATAAATTCTCTCTATCTATCCATCTATCTATCTTCTAATGGTTCTGTTTCTCTGGAGAACCCTGACTAGTAAACACACTGAATGTATGAAATGCAGAAATATCTTCAGCTATTCCTCATCCCTTACAAAACAGTGTGAGAACTCACACTGGAGAGAAACTCTATTAGTATAAGGAGTGTAGGAAAATCTTATCTTGGGTCTAATTTTTTCAAATTGAGGTAAAATTCACATTAAAGAGGAACCATGCAAGTGGAAGAAACGTAGGAAAGTGTAATCCCTCACACTTTAGAAAACATGTGAGAACACATACTGAAAAAAAATAAATGCCTAGAATGTGAGAAAACTTTCAAGTCTTTTTCATGCCTTAGTCAGCAAGTGAGAACTCATACTGGGAGATACGACTGTAAAGAATGTGGAAAATCCCTTAGTTTCTTTCCTCGTATTTTCAAAGACATGTGAAAACTCACATTGGAAAGAAACCCAATGAATGTAATTCATGTGGGAAGGTGTTCAGATATATCTCTTCTTATACATAAAATTGACACCAGAAGACAAATCTTTAAAATCTTGTAAATATGAAAATGTTTTATTAGTATCTCATCCTTGAAGTGGAACCCAGCTCATAATTTAGTTTTTATTTTCTAATAAAAACTTTTATGATGATAACTATTGCTCCCAGTACCCTTTCAGCTATCTCACATAACTTTGATATATATTATTTTTATTATCGTTTATTAAGTGTCTAATTTCCATTGTGAAGTCTCCTTGGACCTATAAGGCTGAAATAAAATAATTTAAAATTTATTTTCTTATTGTTTCTAATTCAATTTCATTATAGTTAATGCAAGTGGTCATTGTGCTATTGAGTTTGGTACTTTGGAGGTTTCTTTTTTCTGGCTTACCATAGCAGATCCTAGGATTTCCTTAGCTGATATCTACCCTGCCCTTCTTCCTTACTAAGAAAACTTAGAATTTTTCAACTTCACTGGTGAAAGAGGTATCTTCAGCAGAGTTTTGCAGAGAGTGTACTCTACAACTAATTGTCTTGGTCAATATAGTTGATAGAAACTTAAAAATATGCAGTTATTGAAAAAGGACAGTTTCATCTGACCTCTGACCTGATTATTTAACCTTCTGTATTTTGCTACTGCTTCAAGTTGAACACAGCCCTTCAAGTTGAAAAGAGGGACCTTGCAGCCATGTCGATGAAAGTTACAGGTAATGATGATTGTGCTGGACTGTGTTATATGGCTTAGAAATACATTTTCCAGAATCCTCTTTGTCTATGGTTTATAGGTTAGAGTTGAACAAAAGAGGAAACTGAGTGAGATTTGGAATGAAGAAATAAAATGGAAGCCATAAATCTCAAAAGGATGTGGCAGTAGCAGATTGACAAACAGATCTAGAAGTACCCATCAGTTCCAAACTTTAAGCATGTCTTTTTGATTACTGGCTCTGTTGAACAACATTAGCATTGAGCCAATCACCTAAGCACTTAACTTCAATTCCCTCAGAAGTGGTAGCTTCCAGGCTGGGCACAGTGGCTCACACCTGTAGTCCCAGCACTTTGGGAGGCTGAGGCAGGTGGATCACTTGAAGCCAGGAGTTCGAGACCAGCCTGGCCAACATGGTGAAACCCCATCTCTACTAAAAATACAAAAATCAGCATGCCTGTAATCCCAGCTACTCAGGAGACTGAGGCAGGAGAATTGCTTGAACCTGGGAGATGGAGGTTGCAGTGAGCCGAGATCCTGCTACTGCACTCCAGCCTGGGTGACAGAGTGAGACCCTGTCTCCAAAAAAAAAAAAAAAAACAAAAACAAAAAAACAAGTGATAGCTTCCACAAACATCGCTATGAGCTTGTCATCTTTCATGACCTCACTTTGGTGACCAGACAGGCATAGCTGCCTGAATTTCCTTGCAAGCTTAAACCTGCTTATTCATACCACTGTTGCAGAATTTCAGGATTAAAGGCTTTCTTTAATATTCTGACTCCATTTTCTTGACATTTATCAAAAGTCTAATTTTTATGGTGAGCATGTTGTTCCCATAATACTTCTCAAGGCCCTGTTTCTCCAAGTCATACACTATTTCAGGAAAAATGAACAAATAAGTACCTTATTCCCCTACTGTATTGTTCAGTAGCTACACCATCCTTGCCCTACCTATTTCTGGACTCTCCTAGGAGAAAAATCAGCACCTTGTTGATTTGTGGAGCATATCTTGGGAGTTTTCTGTTATTCAAGACCAAACAAAACCCCTAAATAATAAATGTAGTATGTGTTAAATTAAAACAATCAATGTAAAGTAATTCATCATATTAACAAAAGAGCAAATTTGAATTTAGATACATAATAGATATATAGAAAGTCTTTAAAACAATTCTGAATGGGCCAGGCACAGTGGCTCACACTTGTAATCCCAGCACTTTGAGACACCAAGGTGGGAGGATTGCTCCAGGCTGGGAATTCAAGACCAGCCTGGGCAACATGGCAACAAAATATTTATGCATCGTAAAAGATTTTTCATGTGTGTACCATTAATTGTTAAAGTGACCTTGTTCATTCTGTCACATAAGTTTAATGTTAAGTTTGAGGCAGGAAGAAGAAAAGGTTTTCCATTCTTCAGCATAAGCCTGTCAGGTATTTGTTTAAGAAAAATGAAATGAAGGAAATATTGTGCAATGTTTTTTGTTTTGTGAGCATATCAGTGCTTTACGTAGTCAGCCACAGCTGTGAATGTCTTGCCATTTCAGACTTGGGAGACTAAATGGCTGTTGTCATTGCTGATCCTGTGAGAATGTGAAACTGGATAACATACGAAATGCAAAATAAAACAAAATAAAAATAAAAATATACGAATGCCCCTTCATTAGTATATCCTTATTTGCATGAATGAAGTAAATGTATGGACCAAGCACGGTGACTCATGCCTGTAATCCCATCACTTTGGGAGGCCGAGGCAGGCGGATCACCTGAGGTCAGGAGTTCAAGACCAGCCTGGCCAACATGATGAAACCCCATCTCTACTAAAAATACAAAAATTAGCTGGGCATGATGGCGGGCACCTGTAATCCCAGTTACTCAGGAGGCTGAGGCAGAAGAATTGGTTGAATTCAGGAGGCGGAGGTTGCAGTGAGCTGAGATCGTGCCATTGCATTCCAGCCTGGACGACAGTGCGAGACTCCATCTCAAAATAAATAAATACATACAAATGTATGAAAATCTATGGACTCTCCCAAAGAAAAGACTCTGCAGATGACTTTTCTAGTGTCATCTAATAAATCCACTCTAATATGTTTGACGCTTCTGACCCCTTCAGTACTCTCCAAGGTAGTTCTGGTAACTCCAACTCGTTTATTGTAGTCCATCATTATGCCCAAGCTTCAAGAGGCCAACCCAGCAATGTATTAGTTCTTATCATAGGTGTCATTGCCAGGAGGCAATTCTGAAGTACAAATCTGAAGTCAAGAGAGAGTACCTTTGTACCCTAAACACTCCTCTATCCAGCAGCATATTACACACACACACACACACATTTATGTTCAATATTAATTTCCAAGCATAATCCCCATGTTTCTGCTGGTACATATTAGCCATGCCTTGTAGTTTCTTTAGTGAATATAATTTTTTTAAATTTTCTTTTCTTTTCTTTTTTTTGACGGAGTCTCGCTCTCTCACCAGGCTGGAGTGCAGTGGCACGATCTGAGCTCACTGCAACCTCCACCTCTCGGGTTCAAGCAATTCTCCTGCCTCAGCCTCCTGAGTAGCTGGGACTGCAGGTGCATGCCACCATGCTCAGCTAATTTTTTTGTATTTTTAGTAGAGACAGGGTTTCACCATGTTGGCCAGGATGGTCTCGATCTCCAGACCTTGTGAGCTGCCTGCCTCGGCTTCCCAAAGTGATGGGATTACAGGCATAAGCCACTGTGCCTGGCCTAAATTTTATTTTCTAATGAATAGGATTTATTTTTCTCATGAGCAGGAATTGTACTTTCCAGCTCACGTCATTATTTAACCTTAGTTATAGATATAAAAGCAGTGGGGACAGGTCTTGAATAGGGTAAGTTTCATCTTGTAAGGCATTAATATCAGATGAAGGCATTACATTATCTCCAAGCAATGAAAGGCTTTATTTCCCTAGAAAGGAGGAGGATCCATGGCTAGAAAGAGTTCAAGGGAATCTGAGAATATAAGTATCTCAAGTACATCCAACCAAATGTCCTCATCCCAGGACTCAGAGTATGTGGAATATTTCTTTCCTATCAGGATTCTAACTTTAACAAAGAAAACTTAGATCGTTGTGTTTTCAGTCTGCTTTGTAGCTCTGGCACTAATACATTCAAATACTGAGCCTGATTTTCAGTACATCTAGCCCTCCAGCTGTAGAAAAGAGATGTCTTTTAAAATTTTTCCATGGAAAGCCTTTGGCTTTCACAGTGTTCTCTAAATTGATAGGTGGATAATTTGAGCTAATCATGCTATATATTCAGGGCTTATGGTCAGTAGAAAAAAGAAGCAAACTTCACAATCCTTTCAATTACAATTTTTTCCATTTGTGTCATGTGCAGAAGCTATTGCATAAGCCAGTAGTTATACCTGTTGCTCATTTCAATCCTCCACAGGTGAGAATCTTAGTAAGTGGGATGCTACAGCATGACAGGGATTATCACAACCCCACTTTCTACCAGAATTGGATTGCTGCCATGTGACCAGCAAGTAATTCAAGTTCAGAATCCCATCCTTAGAATTTGCTTTCTAAGTTGCTATCTTTGTTGAGTTCTCCCAAAAGCAGACCTAGAGACAAGGACTTAGGTGCAATTAATTTATTTAAAAAGTTATCTAGAGAAGCACCAGTGAGGAAGTGTGGAAACTGAGAAAAAGAAGGGAGAAACATCAATAAATTAAAAATTATTATTTTAATAAGCAGATTACCATTGTGAATACATGGGCCTCAATCTTGCTAGGGAACTCTATGAGGAACTGTGTGGAACATACTGTAGAATTGTCCCATCAAAGAACCAGAAAGTTAGTGGTAGACTGATCTCACCTTCCATCTTTCATTGAGTGTTAACCCTAAGGGCATTAAATTTCTGGAAATTCCAGATTGCAATGTGAATGGGCAGAGCAAGCTCCTATGGCATCAGAGAAATCCCTCCCAGGAAGAGAAGTAGAAAGACAAAAGTGCTTGACATGATGTATTAGTCAATTTTCACACTGTTGATAAAGACATACCTGAAACTAGGGAGCAAAAGAGGTTTAATTGGACTTACAGTTCCACATGGCTAGGGAGGCCTCAGAATCATGGCAGTAGGTGAAATGCACTTCCTACATGGCAGCGGCAAGAGAAAATGAGAGAGATGCAAAAGTGGAAATCCCTGATAAAACCATCAGATCTCATGAGACTTATTCACTACGACCAGAACAGTAGGAGGGAAACTGCCCTCATGATTCAATTATCTCCCACCAGGTCCCTCCCACAACACGTGGGAATTATGGGAGTACAATTCAAGATGAGATTTGAGTGGGGACACAGCCAAACCATATCACAAGAGAAGCTGCTGTAAGCTTGCTAAAAAGTTTTCATTGAACTGCAGGTAAACTCTGAGGTGGGCCAAGGGAATATAGGACAGGCATCAATAGCATCTGCTATACTGCTGCATTTGGTTGTACAAGCAAAGGGTTGAGAAGTAGCTGTGGAAGGAAGGTTCAGCATTCCAGTGTCACCAGGAGCAACAGCCAGATTGAGTGTTCCTGTATCTAGGAGCAACTGTGTGGGTATTGAGAGGTGGTAGCAACAGTAGAAGTGGCCTACTAACCCTGGGTCACAGGTGTAGCAAGTTGTTCTTGGAACTCAATAGTTCCTGAGTTCCACTTATCCACACATTCCAATGATGCTATAAAAATCTAATTATCTCTGTTAAATATTTTTCTGCTTAAACTGATTAGAGTTGTTTTTGTTATGTGCCCTGAGCCCCAAAAATATATTTTGTACCAGAATTTGCAGGCAACAAACACCGAAGAATGAAATTTAGGATAGATTATATGACCTAGATAGATCAAAGGCAATGATAGTCCCATATCCTCTAGAAAATAAGATATTGGTAGTCCCTGGTAAGCAACAGCAAAACATTTACTCAGGTTATCACTTGTGTTTGTCTGGAATTAATTGCTTATTGAAGGTAATTCTCTGGTAAGCAAAGTGGCTGGTGTACCAAAGCATTATGGTGGGGAAGAGAAAGGTTCAGGGGATGTGGTGATTACTTTTGACTGCAATCGAGAATTCAATTAAAGAAAATAACGAACTTAGGGTTTTAAAATTCTTGGGTCAGGAAAGATATGAAAATCAAATATTTTAATGATTGCTTTAAAAACATCTCTTTTATCCCACGGCTACAGGACTACATAGATAAAAATCAGACAAAAAGTCTGATTCTTCAGGTTGATAAATAATTACAAAGTTGAATTCACAACCACTGCATGTTTTTTAATGAAATTGCTAGAGCATTGATCCAGAAAGAGTAGTATCCTTAGAATGGGAATGGGGACAGCTAGGTGAATTCAGATGTGATTGTATCTTGAATCCCCAAACCAATTGAGCCCTTTTTTATCCCAGCAGAAGCAAACTCATTTTCCTTTTTAATAAGACTGTCCTCTTTGCATGCATAGTCTGTAATGACCTCAGCTGAGACAGTTACATTGCAAAGGGTTGCTAATTTTCTCCATGCCCTTCATTTGCCAACTCTCATTGCCTCTAGACCTCTAATTAGATTCATATCCTAGCATGTTCAATGGGGACAAGCACAAAGCCAGTCCCAATATTAGAAGGCATATATACTGAAAGAATTGCATAATTTTGCTAACTACATCACAGAAACCTTAGGAATATGTTTGAGAACTGAGTATGCTATAACAGAAAACAAAGAAAAAACCTTTAGATTGAGTTGAATTTAGGTGGGTTCGTTTGCCAGAGATTCTGAATTCAGTGTTCAAGCTTTCACATGATTATCTCTAATAGTTCTTTTGGTCAGCTGACTCAATTCAATGACAGCCACAATTTAACAAAGGAAATTAAGATGCTAATAATGCCTTAGGATAATGTTATCCAGCAAAAGGGACTCACTACCTGATATGCTAGAAGCCAATAATATGACACTGCATTTTTGAGAAAAGAAAAGCTTTATATTGAAAGTCTTTGTTATAGCAACAAACACACAAAGGAAAGAAAATGGATTCCCAAGGAGACAGGAGTAAACGTCAAGTGTCTTCCCATGCTGGCTTTCAGGCAGTAATTTTGTTAGAAATGCTTTACGGGGCTGGGCGTGGTGGCTCACGCCTGTAATCCCAACACTTTGGGAGGCCGAGGCGGGTGGATTACCTAAGGTTAGGAGTTTGAGACCAGCCTGGCCAACATGGTGAAACCCTGCCTCTACTAAAAATACAAAAATTAGCCAGGCGTGGTGGCGTGCGCCTGTAATCCCAGCTACTCAGGAGGCTGAGGCAGGAGAATCACTTGAACCCGGGAGGTGGAGGTTGCAATGGGCGGAGATCACACCACGGCACTCCAGCCTGGGCGATTGAGTAAGACTCCGTCTCAAAAAAAAAAAAAAAAAAAGAAACAAAGGAAGAAAAGAAAAAGAAAAGATTTAGGGGGCAGATTCTGAGAGCGGTGATTAGCGGAAGGAAAGGGGAGGCATGGGAAGTCCTTGGGCATGTGCACTTACCTCTTCATGCCTCCGCAAGGGTCTTTGTGCGAATTCGGGGGAGTTAGTATGAAACCTGTGGTGGAAACTCAGGCTGCGATCTCAGCAAGCTCATTCTGTGCAAACTCCATTTATCTATCTAGGTTACAACCGATTTCAGCCAGTTCATTTCTTTTAAGCAGAGGGAGTCTCAGTGTTTCAGCAAGTTGTTTCTTATCTGCCATTATGAAAACTCAAGAATTTCTGTTAGTTACTGGTTTCTTTAACTCTTTGGGGCACAGTTTCAATAGTGTAGAGGAAAAAAAAACAAAAACAAAAAAAAAAAACAAAGACTCAGGAAAATAAATCTCTATTTTTTTTTCTTTTTTCTTTTTTTTTTTTGAGACGGAGTCTGGCTCTTTCGTTTCGCCCAGGCCGGACTGCAATGGCGCTATCTCGGCTCACTGCAAGCTCCGCCTCCCGGGTTCACGCCATTCTCCTGCCTCAGCCTCCCGAGTAGCTGGGAAAATAAATCTCTATTTTTATTCTTGCCCTAGGTATCACAAATGTTAGGGGTGCTCCTGCTCCTCTGAGAGTCATACAAGGTTCTAATTATCTCACCATCCCATAGGACATCACATTTTTCCAGCACGCTAAT
Source organism: Homo sapiens (assembly GCF_000001405.40). NCBI lineage: Eukaryota > Metazoa > Chordata > Mammalia > Primates > Hominidae > Homo > Homo sapiens. The sequence continues at coordinate 504,261 of NW_025791778.1, forward strand.
GGGATCATGCTGATTGTACCTCTTCAATAGCAAGTAACATGTGCCCTAGATGCCTTCGTAAGACGTATGTATGGCAGAAGAGGAGATAAGTAAGCCCCACAACAATTTAAGGAACTGTCCTCTCTGAAGTTTTGGGGGATTCAGAAATCTAGGGCATGTTAAGATATTTCCAAGAAAGTGAAAAACAAGTTGCTGCTGCCCTTCCTACACTCCCTACCATGAAGAAAAAGGCAAACTTGGTGAGCCTCTTGATTTTGGAGGCAACATGTTATCTTTTGGCATCCTTCTCTGATCTTTTTGCTGAGTCACTGTTAAGGCTGCCAGCTTTAAACTGAACTCCAAATCAAAGAAGGCTCTACAGGTACTCCAGAATGCATTAAGAACAGGAACACCACTTGGGAGTTATGACTCAGCAGATAAAATTATGTTTAACGCTGGGCGCAGTGGCTCATGCCTGTAATCCCAGCACTTTCGGAGGCCGAGGCAGGTGGATCACTTGAGGTCAGGAGTTTGAGAATAGCCTGGCCAACATAGTGAAACCCCATCTCTACTAAAAATAAAAAAAATTAGACAGGTGTGGTGGCACAGGCCTGTAATCCCAGCAACTCGGAAGGCTGAAGCACGAGAATTGCTTGAACCCAGGAGGCAGAGGTTGCAGTGAGCCGGTATCACACCACTGAACTCCAACCTGGGCGACAGAGCAAGACGCTGTCTGAAAAAATAAATTATGTTTAAAGTGTCTACTATAGCAGAATGTTATATGAAGCCCAAGACATTCCCTAACAAGAGAATTACAGCGTGGGCCTCTGGGATTTGGAACATAGTCCTACCTTTTCAGTAAATAACTATTATCCTGTTAAGAAATAGATCATTCTCCAAGCAGTTCCTCATATGATACTTGTTAATTACAAAGATATTGTTATAATATTTATTAATTACAGACGGCAAACAGTAACTTTACAGTGGAGACAAACTCTTTATCAAATAACCAAAGTTAACATCTCCAGTATGAAACATTAACCTGACATATCTCCTGATATGACGACTGCACATCATTTCTGTATTATTCTTGCCAAAAATGTACTACCAAAATTTAGTCATAAGGAAATATCAGACAAACCCAAATTAAGAGACATTTAACCAATAGCTTGCCAGCACTCTTAAAAAGTGTTAAGGTCATAGAAGCTAAAGAAAGACTGGAAAATTGTCCTAGATTGGAAGAAGTTAAGGAGAAGTTAATGACCGATTCCTAGACCGGAAAAAGGACATTAGTGGAACAATTGGCAAAATTTGAATAAAGTCTACAGGTTAGTTAATTGTATCAATGATAATTTCTTACATTGAGGATAAGATGTTAACTTTTGAGGAAGCTGTGAGGGAAGGACAAATGGAAACTCATACTATTTTTAAAAATGTTTTGGGTCTTAAATTATTTTAAAATTTAAAACTTTTTTTAATGTTTTTGGAGCTTCTAGATAGCTGCACATGTGGAGGCTTCTAGAGGGTAGTGCTCCCACAAAGGTCATGGAAGCTCCTCACCCCTTTCCCCATACCTCTATGCATCTCTTCATCTGTATCCTTTGTAATATTCTTCATAACACATTGGTAAAATTTATTTGGCTTTAAATGCTTCAGAGTGGAAGGGCATATTTGGGTCGATGCAGGGCACACAACTCACTATTGAACAATTGCAGATGGCTATATGTGATCCAGGCACATAGGAGTGTTCCTGAGGGAACAGTCAGCCTAGTGAACTAGATAAAAGCCACTGTAAGTACTGACTATAAAACTGAGGAGCTGCTGGGTTCTGTCAACACTTGCACAGTGCCCTATAAACAGCTCTCAACTAACCACCCAACAACTGCTGAGTTTGTGGATGACAGCTCCAAGATTCCAAGGTGAGTGGGCAACCTCCTGTTTGGAAGGCTGCTCCTCTGATCAAAAAAGTCGTTCTAGGACCAGAGCTGTAACTACAAGTACTGGAAGCAGGGATGATTTCTAAACAAGAAACTGTAAATACGTTTTTAAGCCTCATATCAGAATTGCTAAGGGCCTGATGGGAGTGGGTTGTGCAAAATTGGGGTTAACAGTGAATGCAGCTATACTGCCTGGTGGTAAAAATGGTGCAATAATTTGGCACCTACATAAACTTAGCCTATCTGAATGGAAATGGACTAAGGAGAAGGTAATTACCAGTAGTGATGCCTACAATCTAGACCAGCACAGTGTTGACTCTAATGTCCTTTGCAACGCTTATTAATGAAGTGAAGAAAGAAGAGCAGCTGAGAATAAAGGAATAAATGGGTTATGAATTCAGATAAATCTAGTATCACATTACATTAACACCTTGAAAAAGGCTCAGAGCAAGAGATGACATTGTCTCTTAGTTCAATTATACCAGGTGTCTTACAGGGTGAAGCCAAGACCACTGCTGCTTTTAGAACCTGATAAGATCAATGAAAATCCTGCAAACTTGAGTGGCCTCACCCTGGGATACAAATTCATACAATATGATAATGGACTGAACTAATTATTAATAATTGAATAAGATTCTAGTAATGTGGCAGTGTCTTTTGAGTTGTACGTCTTTTTAAGTAAGGAATTACACATCGGAGGTAGACTGTGATATCATGAATTATGTATTTGGCCCTTGACCTCATTTCCTGGCATACAACTATTAAAATCCTTAGAAACTCCAGAGTGATGTCTTTGTATCCTAATGAGATGACTGGTGGCTGGAAGCCCCTGGGCAGCTTCAGAATTGGGGGCTGGTCACAGAAAAGACTAAGACAGGGTTAAAGGGTTAGGACTTTCCCACCCTGCAACCTCCAGGAAGAGGAGAGGTGCTGAAGGTTAAGTTGATCACCAATGATCAATGGTTTAATCAATCATGCCTATGTAGTGAAGCCTCTGTTAAAACTCCCAAAGGACAGGGTTTGGGGAGCTTTTGAATAGCTGCAAACCTGGCAAACTAGGAGGTTCCTGGAAGGTGGTGTGCCTTGGTAGGGTATTGAAGCTCTGCTCCCCTCCTCTCCTATACCTTGCCCTATGCATCGCTTCTGTATCCTTTGGAACATCCTTTATAACAAACCAGTAAACATAAGTAAATGTTTCCCTGAGCTCTGTGGGGAAAAACAAAGGCTTTTTTCCCCATTTTATTTTGTTTGGTTTTTTTGAGACAGAGACACCCAGGCTGGAGTGCAGTGGTGTGACCATGGCTCACTGCAGCCTCAACCTCCAGGGCTCAAGTGATCCTCCCACCTCAGCCTCCTGAGTAGCTAGAATCACAGGTGCGTGCCACCATGCCTGACTAATTTTTTGGGTTTTTTTTGTAGAGATGGGGGTCTCACTATATTACCCAGGCTGGCCTTCTACTCCTGGGCTCAAGTGATCCTCCTGCCTCGGCCTCCCAAAATGCTGGGATTGCAGGTGTAAGCCTCTGCACTCAGCCTAAAAAATGTTTTTAATGGACATGGAGATGTACCACCCCATCCATCTTCAAGGAGGTCCTTTTGCCTAAGTGCTAGGAGTGTTATCAGTAGACAGAGTTCAGCTGTCAGAATCCTCAGGGATGTCCTCAGTTACACACATCTGCCTCATCTAAGGTCATGCCCTTCCTGGGGCATCCTGCATTTAATGGCAGATCAAGACAAAGGTATGAAGTTCCAGCCATGTTGGCTCAATGTGGAACAACTCTAAAGGTTCATTTTGGCTTCTAAGCTCCTGGTGGGGTTAGCAAGGCTATAGTAGGAACTGCATCATAGTTGGACTTTTCCCTCTGCCTACTTCCTTCCCCTTTTCTTCAACTGGTGGTAATCCCAAGGGTACACCCTAATAAACATCTTTTTCAATAAACTCCATCTCGTAGCCTGCTTCCCAGGGAATTATGTAACTATTGGTAATGGGAGTTGTCTTAGAAAGCAGGCAATAAGATGGGGGTTTCAAGCTGAATCATTTCTCAGCTGGCAAATAAGGGCCCTATAACTAGTAGTAGGTGGAACACAGCTCCTGCCACAAGGTGGCAGTCCAGTTGTTAAAATTTTCACTGGTGGTGAACTGGGATAGTGAATTC